>NT_167247.2:4588668-4827813 GCF_000001405.40 Homo sapiens | reverse complement strand
GGCCGCTACCAGCCCCGCGCCACACCCGCCACTTTTGAATTCCAACGGCCACCACCCACTCTCACCGCGCTCTGCACGCAGGGACCAATCGTCGCTGTCGCCACAGCCGAGGGCCAATCGCAGCGTTCTCCGCCACCCGAAGCCACACCCCGCCCGACAGGCGCCTTGTCTTTTCTGTTTCGCAGGCGCAGGAGAGGTAGGCGGATTAATTCCACTTCCGGTGCCACTTATGCTTCTCACCCCTCCCCTCCTCTAGCGGCAATAGTGCTGGACTTCCGCTCGGCTCCCCGCCGTCGCTCGCTACGTCAGAAAATGCGTGGACGTCGCCGCACGAACGCAACTGGCCAAGCGAAACTGGTGGCGGCCGGAGGAGAAGGGGCGGGGACGCTGGAGGAAAGAAATGACGCGTGCGCAAACGAGGACCCGTGCCGGGAGACAGGCGGGACTAGCGCCTCCTGGTGACTGCAGTAGGGAGCGCACTTGTTTTCCGTCGACGTGATTGAGGCTCCAGCGCTGCCTCTCCTGGTCGTGGTTGACTGGGCCCGGAAGTGGCTCCTGGAGCCCTCACGTGGATGTGAGTGGCCTGGTCTGTTCATTCCCTGGTAATGTTGCCATTTCTCACCAAATTTAGGAATTTTTGCGCTCCATTGAAGCCTGACAGTGGGGATTCAAAGCTCAGGAAAGAACTTTTCTTTATAGCCCTCTTCTCTCAGCCAGCCTACTTACCTGGGTGCTGTTACTGGTACTGGGCTCAGGGCCTTTGGAGTCTCGAGCTCGGGGAAGATTTACTGCTTCCATTTATGGAGTATTTTATGTTTTGCAGATTGTGCACCTGTATTATCTCGTCTTTTAATCACGAAAATTCACTGAGTTCCTACATTGTGCCACATTCTTTGTAGAGATGGATGGAGACAGGTTCAGAAAGATTACACAATAAGGTCACACTGCTGGTTAGGAATGGATCTAGATTCCATTAGCTTCAAAATCCAAGCTATTTCTGTTAACTCACGTTGCCTCTAACAGTCTCGGTGACAAGAGCAACCCCTTACGTGTGAATAGGGTGCTAGTTTGCAAAGTCGTTCTACCATATTTACTCATCCGAGTTTCCATCCAATCCTGGAGGTAGTCAGGACAGGGTTTTATTTATGAAACCGAAAGGCAGGGGCCTCAAGCATATGTTCGGGGATTTGGTGTGCAGTTGGAAATTGGCAGGTCTGACACCCGCGCTGCCGTCTTCTATCCATTGCTTTAACTTGGCTTCAAACAAGCTTGTAGAGAGAAGCAGATTGTGGGGAGACACACTGTCTGAAAACCATGTTGCCATCCCCCCAACCTTTGATATCCTGGGAAAACTCCAAAAAGCAAGAGCTTGAAGAGAACACAGTAAAAAGAAAAGGAAGAAACTAGAGAAAACCAACAATGGAAGGTAAAGGGGGATAACTGAGAAGGGAGACCTGAGAAGAAACATATAGCAAAAGATATTTATCAAATTAAAAAAAAATTTAAATGGAATGGAGAAATATAGACCCATTAGCAGATTAAAGGGGGAAAATGTATTCATCTCAATTGATGCAGCAAAGTCACTCAAAATATTCAACACCCGTTGATATTTTTTTTAAAACTCCAGAAGCTGATAAAGGACATCTTCAAAAATTTCGCAAAACACATCACCATAATGGGGAAATGTTGAAAGCGTTCCTTTCAAGATGGGGAACAAGGCAAGGATGCCTGCTCTCAATAATCCTCATCAATAAAACAATGGAAGTTGTAGCCAGTCCAATAAGCAACAAATATATAAGGACTACAAGAAACATTAATGTTAATATTCGCAGATGAAATTATTGCATGTGCAGCATCCCTAAAATAAAATTCAGATAGAATTGATAAATAAGTTTAGCAAGGTTGATGGATAAAAAATCAGTAAGAGGAAAAAATCAATTTTCAAAATCAATTGCATTTCCGTCTTCAGCAACACTAGTTACAAAGTGTAACTGTAAAAATTACACTATTTGGTGGCCGGGCGCGTTGGCTCACACCTGTAATCCTAGCACTTTGGGAGGCCGAGGCGGGCGGATCACGAGGTCAGGAGATCGAGACCATCCTGGCTAACATGGTGAAAAACTCTCTGTACTAAAAATACAAAAAAAATTAGCCGGGCGTGGTGGCGGGCGCCTGTAGTCCCAGCTACTCAGGAGGCTGAGGCAGGAGAATGGCGTGAACCCGGCAGGCGGAGCTTGCAGTGAGCGGAGATCGCGCCACTGCACTACAGCCTGGAAGACAGAGCGAGACTCCGTCTCAAAAAAAAAAAAAAAAAAAAAAACCAAAAAAGTTAGCCAGGCGTGGTGGCGGCCGCCTGTAATCCCAGCTACTCGGGAGGCTGAGGCAGGCCCACGGAAACAGTGACATGATTCGTGCCAAATTCTGAAGCAATCTTCCCACTAAGGCTATTGGACACAGAATCCGAGTGATGCTGTACCCTTCAAGGATTTAAACTAATGAAAAGTCAATAGGCCGGGTGCGGTGGCTCACGCCTGTCATCCCAGCACTTTGGGAGGCTGAGGCGGGTGAATCACGAGGTCAGGAGTTCAAGACCAGCCTGGCCAAGATGGTGAAACCCCGTCTCTACTAAAAATACAAAAAAGCCGGGTGTGGTGGCGGGCACCTGTAATCCCAGCTACTTGGGAGGCTGAGGCAGAGAACTGCTTGAACCTGGAAGGTGGAGGTTGCAGTGAGTCGAGATCGTGCCACTGCACTCTAGCCTGGGCAACAGAGCGAGACTCCGTCTCAAAAAAAAAAAAAAAAAAGAAAAAGAGAAAAAAAGAGAAGAAAGAAAAAAGAAAAGTCAATAAATAAACGTGGATTTGTGCTCTTAAAAAAAAATTGCCAGGCATGGTGGATCATGCCTATAATCCCAGCACTTTGGAAGGCCAAGGCAGAAGGACCACTTGAGGTCAGGAGTTCCAGACCAGCCTGGCCAACATGGTGAGATCCCATCTCTACTAAAAATACAAAAAAAATTAGCCGGGCATTGTGGCATGTGCCTGTAATTCCAGCTACTCAGGAGGCTGAGGCAGGAGAATTGCTTGAACCCGTGAGGTGGATGTTTTGGTGAGCCGAGATTGTGCCACCACACTCCAGCCTGGGCAACGAGGGCAATACTCCATCTCAAAAAAAAAAAAAAATTATTCAAAAATTTAAAAGGCTGTAACTCAGCCTTGATTCAAATAGGTTAAAAGTAGTCATGATGATATTTAACAGGAAACATTGCAAGATGAGAACTTTGATGAGGTCTTTCAGGGGAGGACAGATGGTATAGGTATAAGTACATATGTAGGTATAGGTACAGGTACAGATATTGGTATAGGTACAGATACAGTTATAGTAATGGTAGACTCCAAATCACAATGAACCAACATTTGGCCAAAGGCGAAAAAGTTATTTAAGATTACTTTTATGCATGCTCAGTCTCTAGCAAAGGTAACTACCATTCCATTTTTAAAATTTTTTATTTTTTGGAGATGGAGTCTTTTTTTTTTTTTTTTTTTTTTTTGAGACAGAGTCTGGCTCTGGCGCAATCTCGGCTTGCTGCAAGCTCTGCCTCCGGGGTTCATGCCATTCTCCTGCCTCAGCCTCCCAAGTAGCTGGGACTACAGGCGCCCGCCACTACGCCCAGCTAATTTTTTATATTTTTAATAGAGATGGGGCTTCACCATGTTAGCCAGGATGGTCTCGATCTCCTGACCTCCTGATCCACCCGCCTCAGCCTCCCAAAGTGCTGGGATGACAGGCATGAGCCACTGTGCCTGGCCAAGGAGACGGAGTCTTGCACTGTCCCCCAGGCTGGAGTGCAGTGGCGTGTTCTCGGCTCACTGCAACCTCTGCCTCACGGGTTCAAGCGATTCTCCTGCCTCAGCCTCCTGAGTAGCTGGGATTACAGACATCCGCCACCATGCCCAGCTAATTTTGGCATTTTTAGTAGAAACGGGGTTTCACCATATTGGCCAGGCTGGTCTCGAACTCCTGACCTCGTGATCTGCCCGCCTTAGCCTCCCAAAGTGCTGGGATTATAGGTGTGAGCCACCGCACCTGGCCTACCATTCCATTTTTAAAACTGTAATAAAGTCGCGTAGCCTCTGAGATAGGCTACTTCTTTTTTTAAATAATTTTTTTTTATTTATTTTAAGACAGAGTCTTACTCTATCACTCAGGCTGGAGTGCAGTGGTGCGATCTGGACTCACTGCATCCTCTGCCTCCCAGGTTCAAACGACTCTGACTCAGTCTCCCAAGTGGCTGGGATTACAGGTGTGCACCACCATGCCAGGCTAATTTTTGTATTTTTAGTAGAGAGGGGGTTTCACCATGTTGGCTAGGCTGGTCTGGAACTCCTGATCTCAAGTGATCCGCCTGCCTCAGCTTCCCAAAGTGCTGAGATTACAGGCATGAGCCACTGCTCCTGGCCAATATTTTAAAATTTTTAATGAAATAAAATAGAGACAGGGTCTCACCATGTTGCTCAGGCTGGTCTCAAACTCCTGGGCTCATGCAGTCCTCCCACCTTGGCCTCCCAAAGTGCTGGGATTACAGGTTTGAGCCACTATGCCTGGCAGTAATTGGCTACTACTAACTCTGAAAACTGTAACCTGAAACTTAAGGCTTTGATTATTTGTTATAGGAAACTACATTTGTCAGAATGCTATAGTAGATTGTGTTTGTTTACTTCAAGTCAACTATATTTGTTATGTGAAGTTATATTTGTATACCAACCTATGTTGGTAAGCCACTGTTTATGACCTCACTGATTTTCTTATAATCATATCTATGTATTATCTTGCCAAGATAGATTCCAAATCCAGAATTTTCCTCCTATGGGTTGTAAACATAAAACGTTATTTGTCTAAGTCTGTTTGTGCTACTATAACAAAATACCTGAGACAGAGTAATTTATAAACAACAGAAATGTGTTTCTCACAGATCTGGAGGGCTGGGAAGTGAAAGATCAAGGTGCCGGCAGGTACAGTGTCTGGTGAGGGACCTGGTTCCTTCTTCACATAGAGCCTTGTTGTTGCATCCTCCGGAGGAGATGAATGCTGTGTCCTCACATGGTAGAAGGACAAAAAAGGGCCGAAGCTAGTTCCCTCCAGCCCTTCCCTCCAGCCCTTTCCCTCAATTCATTCATGGGAGTGGAGTCCTCATGACTTAATTACTTCCCAAACAACCTCACCTCTTAATACCACCAAAGTTGAGATTAAATGTCAACATATGAATTTTGGGGGACATTCAGATCAAAGCAGTATTATAGCACATTTGCTTTCAGAAATGCATAATGATATATTTTTGTGTGTGTTTGTTTTTAGCCAGGGTCTTACTTTGTCACCCAGGCTGGAGTGCAGTGGCACAATCTCGGCTCACTGCAGACTCCACCTTGCAAGTTCAAGCTATTCTCCTGCTTCAGCTCCCCTCCCCCCGCAAATAGCTGGGACTGCAAGCCTGCACCCCATGCCCAGCTAAATTTTGTATTTTTTGTAGAGACAGGGTTTTGCCATGTTGGCCAGGCTGGTCTCGAACTCCTGACCTCAGTAATCCACCCACCTCAGCCTCCCAAAGTGCTGGGCCCAGCGGCTGGGGTGTCTTTTGTCATCTCATCTTTACCCCTTTTTCCCCTGAACTATCCAAATACCCAGCTAAAGGTAGAGATAGAAATAGGAGGGGAGGCAAGTTGGGCTGAGAATGCTTGTGTAACATCAGGCCTGAAGGCACTTTCAGAAGCCAGGCATTGCCTATATTTCATCTCAAACTGCTACACAAGTGTTATTTCCAACCGTGTGCCAATATCACACAATGTCACAACTACACGTGGAACTGAATGAAGGTCCTGGAGAGTCTCTCATAATAGAAATTTTCAGATCCAGACTTGGAAATAACTGGTCATTTAAGTGAGCGAGAGGTGGGGTTAAAATAAAGAATTGTGCTTTTCTATATTTTATTATCATTTCTCTGATAAGAAATGGAAGACGTTAAATAAAAATGGGAGTCTAGGCCCGGTGTGGTGGCTCACGCCTGTAATCCCAGCACTTTGAGAGGCTGAGTCAGGTGGATCACCTGAAGTCAGGAGTTCAAGACCAGCCTGGCCAATATGGTGAAACACCATCTCTACTAAAAATACAAAAATTGGCTGGGCGTGGTGGTGGGTGCCTGTAATCCCAGCTACTTGGGAGGCTGAGGCAGGAGAATTGCTTGAACCCAGGAGGCGGAGGTTGCAGTGAGCCAAGATCGCACCATTCCACTCCAGCCTGGGCGACAAGAGCAAAACTCCGCCTAAAAAAAAAAGCCGGGCACGGTGGCTCATGCCTGTAATCTGTAATCCCAGCACTTTGGGAGACTGAGGCTGGCAGATCACCTGAGGTGGGGAGTTGAGACCAGCCTGACCAGCATGGAGAAACCCTATCTCTACTAAAAATACAAAACTACCCAGACGTGGTGGTGCATGCCTGTAATCCCAGCTACTCAGGAGGTTCAGGCAGGAGAATTTCTAGAACCCGGGAGGCAGAGGTTGCGGTGAGCCAAGATTGCGCCATTGGACTCCAGCCTGGGCAACAAGAGTGAAACTCCATCTCATTAAAAAAAAAAAAAAGGGGGAGTCTAGACCAGGCACAGTAGCTCATGCCCGTAGTCCCAGGACTTTGGGAGGCCAAAGTGGGTGGATTGCTTGAGCCCAGGAGTTCAAGACTAGCCTGGGAAACATGGGGAAACCCTGTCTCTACAAAAAATTAGCCAGGCATGGTGGCACATAGGTGTAGTCCCAGCTACTCGGGAGGCTGAAGTGGGAGGATCACCTGAGCCTGGGAGGTCGAGGCTGCAGTGAGTAATGATCACACCACTGTACTTCAGCCTGGGTGACAGAGTGAGATCCTGTCTTCAAAGAAAAAAAAAAAAGGGCAGGGGGCAGTCTGTGCACACACATTCCCCTTCTTCCAGATCCCTGCCTTTGGACATGAAGACCTCCCTCTAGGGTCTCCAGTCCAAGCTGCCAGGGAGACATCACTCAGCACCACCACACCCTCCATCTGCGTGGACAGGCCTCCTAGGGGATGGCCACTCCTTGTGTAAGATCCATTACCGCTCCGAAAATCAATGTCAAAGATCCAGGGAAGATATGCCCTCTAGAGGAGTTCTAGGGAAACATCTTCCTTTCCCTGATCACTGCTCCTTAAGAAAAATTAGTCACAAAAGGAAAAAAAAAAAAGTGACTGTATTTCATAATGTCTTGGTTCATTTTTATACAAGCTGCAAATTCAACATAAGAAACACTTATGGCTGGGTGCAGTGGCTCACGCCTGTAATCCCAGCACTTTGGGAGGGTGAGGCAGGCGGATCATGAGGTCAGGAGTTCGAGACCAGCCTGACCAACATGGTGAAACCGCGTTTCTACTAAAAATATAAAAATTAGTTGGGCGTGGTGGCGGGCCTCTAATCCCAGCTATTCAGGAGGCTGAGGCAGGAGAATTGCTTGAACCCAGGAGGCGGAGGTTGCAGTGAGCCAAGATCGCACCACTGAACTCCAGCCTGGGCTAACACAGCGAGACTCCTTCTCGATAAAAATAATAATAATAATTTTAAAAAAAGAAACACTTACTGTGTGCCAACGATCTGGAGCCAGAGGCCCTGTGAAGGTGCCGCACCATGCTGCTTGCTGGGATTACAGCAGTGAACACAACAGATGTGGGCCTCCATTTCTCAAAGTTCCTGCCCAGTGAGGAGTACAGATGAGCAGAGAGGCAGCGACAAAAACTAAAAGAGATCATGCATGTGAAGTTCTTAGCACAGTCTGTACAATTGTACGTATCCCTGAGCAGCAGCAGCAGGGCACGACAGGCCAGAGCCGGGCTCATCAAGTGTGCAGAACTGAGAAGGGCTGCAGCACGGAACAGTCTGGGGAGCTGAGGCTGGCGGGATGGGTAGGAGGGGGCAGACCATGAAGGCTTTACCCTGGGGATAGGAGCAGGAGTCTCCTACAAATCTGTCAGTTGGTCGGGATTCCCTACTTCCAGGATGGGGAAGGGTGAAGGTTTACAGGGGCAAAGTCTGTGCTGGAGTGAGCCCAGGAATTCAAGACCAGCCTGGGCAACATGGGGAAAAAGAGTAAACACTCCTTTTCTTCTGCATCATGCAGTTTGCCACCATCTGCTATAGAGATCCCCACAGGGCAAGGTTTTCTGCCCGGCCACCTCGAGTGCTACAGGCCTGCCCAGGGGTGTCCTGCCCACACAGGGTGCTGTGGCTCAGGCTCTCAACCTTGGTCCAGCCTCTCACAGCTGAGCATAATACTGATACTGACACTGAGCCTTTGATAGAGGCTGTTAGTTTCCCCCCAGTATTGTTTCTCCAATCTTTTCCTGTTAATAAACCCTAGATTTTTTTTTTTGCAAGACACATGGCCACCAAAAAAGATCTCAACTCCCAGCCTCTCTTGAGACTAGGTATGGCAATGGACAGTGCTCTGGCCAATAGAGCACAAATGGAAGTAATATATCCACATTTCAGGGAGAGCCCTAAAGGAAGGAGTATGCCCTTCCCCGTCAAACCATGCCATTTGTTGAGAATAGAAGAACCACAAGCTTCACCGGGCGTGGTGGCTCACACCTCTAATCTCAGCACTTTGGGAGGCCAAGGAGGGCAGATCGCCTGAGGTCAGGAGTTTGAGACCAGCCTGGCCAACACGGTGAAACCCCGTCTCTACTAAAAATACAAAAATTAGCTGGGCGTGGTGGCATGTGCCTGTAATCCCAGCTACTTGGGAGTTGGGAGGCTGAGGCAGGAGAATCGCTTGAACCCGGGAGGGGAAGTTTGCAGTGAGCCAAGATTGTGCCACTGCACTCCAGCCTAGGCGACAGAGTGAGACTCCATCTCAAAAAAAAAAAAAAAAAAGAAAAAAGAACCACAAATTAGAAATGTCTTGCCTTCCTGGTAATCTTGGAAGTTCTGCACCAGTCCTGGACTGGTTATCTCAGAATTTGCTTACAGGAAAAATTCACTTGTCTCTTGTTTAAGCCACTGTTATTTCTCAAACTCCTGGACTCAAGCCATCTGCCTTCCATGGCCTCCCAAAGTGCTGGGATTACAGGCATGAGCCACTGCACCCAGCCTAGACATTGTTGCTATGCCTCCACAGAGTACCGTGGAGTAGCCTGAGTGGCCTGGGCCCTGCCTCGGACCCTGTGTTTGAAGGGACTCTGCACTTTGGAGTATCTTCCTTGAAATTTCCTAAGTCACTCTACAGAGCCAAGGGCCAGCCTGTGCCAGCAGAGAACTCGCTCCCATTGGGCGCTCATGGGGTTCTGTAGCCTTGTAGGATCAATTCTGCTAGCAGAGAGGTATTTCTTTTATGGATCGCACATGATTGGGCTACCGGCTGGTCCACTTTGACCCTTAAGCTTGAGCTGTATGTGTGGGTCCTAGTGATGGCTCCCCCGCCCCCATTCTTTGTGTTCCAACTGTGGTGGTATCTCTGTTACCTTAGAGTGGCAGGTAGTCAAAGGAGTCCTTCGTCCTGTGTGTCCCTCACTGATGGTGTCGCGCCACATGCTTCACTGGCACCCAGGAAAGTCATCCCATCCACTCCACAGCCTCTGTGCTACATGCCAGATTGTCCTCTGGGAATAGCTCTGCCTATCTCCTCTCAAAGCTTTCAGGAAGGTTGTTCCACAACCCAACAGGCTCTTCCCATTAATGTCCTCTCTTCTCTTCAATTGATGTGCTGATCTTCTGCTCTCCCAGGTTAGCTGTGCTGGTCAAGGGATGGACTTTCTTTATGTCAAAGTGACTGCTTGGCCTGGTGCAGTGGCTTACCCTTATAATCCCAGCACTTTGGAAGGCCAAGGTGGGAGGATTGCTTGAGACCAGGAATTCAGCATCAGCCTGGGCAACATAGTGAGACCACTTCTCTACTAAAAAAAGAAGGAAAAGAAAGGGACTGCCCTTCTCATTCCACCTACAGGCCGCTCACCTATCCACCCTACTGGTGGTCCTGTGTAAAATGTAGGGGTGCTGCCATCATTGAAGGCGATCACATTCAGCCAGGCATGGTGGCTAACGCCTGTAGTCCCAGCACTTTGGGAGCCCAAGGCTGGTGGATCACCTGAGATCAGGAGTTCAAGAACAGCCTGACCAACATGGTGAAACCCCATCTCTACTGAAAATACAAAAAAAATTGGCCGGGCATGGTGGCACACCTGTAGTCCCAGCTATTCAGGAGGCTGAGGCAGGAGAATCACTTGAACCCGGGAGGCAGAGGTTGCAGTGAGCCAAGATCGCACCACTGCACTCCAGCCTGGCGACAGAGTGAGACTCCGTCTCAAAAAAATAAAATAAAATAAAATAAAATAAAAACAGAATGTTTGGAAGGCCTGTCCTTCGTCTACTCGGAGTTGTAGTGATCTGGGTTGTAAATCATAGTTAAGAGGGGTCTGATAGCTCCTAACTCCCTATTGTTAGAGAGTTTATAGTAAGACTATGGCTTTTCTTATAGCCATAGGAATTTAGAAATTTGCCATGCCAGCCAGACTCTGAACCCTCTACCTGTAGGTAACTTTAGTTTTCTTTTTTTCTTTTCTTTTTTTTTTTTTTTTGAGATGGAGTCTCCCTCTGTCGCCCAGGCTGGAGTGCAGTGGTGCGATCTCGGCTCACTGCAACCTCCGCCTCCCAGGTTTAAGCAATTCTCTGCCTCAGCCTCCTGAGTAGCTGGGATTACAGACGCCCGCCACCATGCGTAGCTAATTTTTTGTACTTTTAGTAGAGACAGGGTTTCACCATGTTGGTCAGGCTGATCTTGAACTCCTGACCTCATGATCCACCCGCCTCAGCCTCCCAAAGTGCTGGGATTACAGGCATGAGCCACCACTCCCAGCCAGAAGTAACTTTGGTTTTCTTAACTGTAGGGCCCTTGTTAGTTGATAAGGGAACATATCAGATCATGGGACTTTACACTTCAGCAATGAGAGGGGGTGCTCTTTAATTTAGGCAGTGATGTGAAGGTATTTGCATTTTTGAAAGAACACGCTAGCTACAAAATGGAGAATAGATTGGCAGTAATTGGGTGAGGATGAGGAAAGATAGTTAGGACACCACTGTAGTCATCCAGGCAAGAGGCAAGAGGACCTGAACAAAAGTGTAGTTGTGAAGATGCAGAGAGGTCAGAGATGTGGAAGGTTCTTAACAGGCAGAACCAGCAGGACCTGGAGATGGATAAGACATGAAATGGGTGGGGCGAGCAGAGAAGGTAGTTGGAGGGAGAATGTCAGATTTTTGGCTTGAGCAACTGGGTGGCTGGCAAAGTCAGTCACAGGGAGACAGGCACCAAAAGAGGAGGAGTTTTGTGGAGAAGGTCAAGGGCTCTGCTTGGACATGTTGAGGCTACACTGCACTTAGGGTGTGCAGGGTATAAGCAAATACATAAACAAATTTATTTTAAAGTCTATAACAGGCTGGGCACAATGGCTCATGCCTGTAATCCCAACACTTTAGGAGGCTAAAGTGGGTGGATTACTTAAGCCCAGGAGTTTGAGACTAGCCCAGGCAACATATTTAGACCATGCCTCTACACACACACACACAGACACACACAAAAAAAAAAAAGAAAGAAGAAAAGAAAATATATTACAAAATACATGAGCGCCACACCTGTAATCCCAGCACTTTGGGAGGCCGAAGCGGGCGGATGACGAGGTCAAGAGATCAAGACCATCCTGGCCAATATGGTGAAACCCGGTCTCTACTAAAAATACAAAAAATTAGCTGGGCGTGGTGGCGGGCACCTGTAGTCTCAGCTACTCAGGAGGCTGAGGCAGGAGAATCACTTGAACCCGGGAGGTGGAGGTTGCAGTGAGCCGAGATCACACCTCTGCACTCCAGCCTGGGCGACAGAGTGAGACTCTGTCTCAAAAAATAATAATAATAATGACAATAAATGAGCCCATGTGAAGTATAGTGATGTCATTTTTTTCAAGACGGAGTCTCGTTCTGTCACCCAGCCTGGAGTGCCATGGCGCCATCTCGGCTCATTGCAGCCTCCGCCTCCCGGGTTCAAGCGATTTTCCTGCCTCAGCCTCCCAAATAGCTGGGATTACAGGCACCCACTATCATGCCCGGCTAATTTTTGTATTTTTGTAGAGATGGGGTTTCACCATGTTGGCCAGGCTGGTCTTAAACTCCTGTCCTCAGGTGATCCACCTGCCTCGCCCTCCCAAAGTGCTGGGATTACAGGCGTTAGCCATCACACCCAGCCTCAACTGTATATTCTCCTGAGCTTTTTAGGGTATAGTCAATGCATTCCCAAAATGTGATCACTTTCTTTTTTTTTTTTTTGAGACAGAGTCGCGCTCTGTCACCCAGGCTGGAGTGCAATGGTGCGATGTCAGCTCAGTGCAACCTCCAGCTCCCGGGTTCAAGTGATTCTCCTGCCTCAGCCTCTTGAGTAGCTGGTATTACAGGCAACCGCCATCGCGCCTGGCTAATTTTTTTTTTTTTTTTTTTTTTTGAGATGGAGCCTTGCTCTGTTTTGCCGAGAGTTTTTTTGTTTGTTTGTTTTTTGTGATGGGGTTTTGCCAAGTTGGTCAGGCTGGTCTCGAACTCTTGATCTCGTGATCCACCTGCCTTGGCCTCCCAAAGTGCTGGGATTACTGACTGGTGTGAGCCACTGTGTTTCTATTTTTTTTTTTTTTTTTTTTGAGATGGAGTCTTGCTCTGTCGCCTAGGCCAGAGTGCAGTGGCGTGATCTTGGCGATTCTCCTGCCTCAGCCTTCTGAGTAGCTGGGACCACGGGTGCGAACCACAATGCCCTGCTAATTTTTGTATTTTTAGTAAAGACGGGGTTTCACCAGGTTGGGCAGGATGATCTCAATCTCTTGACCTCGTGATCCGCCTGCCTCGGCCTCCCAAAGTGCTGGGATTACACGTGTGAGCCACTGCTCCCGGCCTATTTTTAAATTTTTGAGATAAAGTCTTGCTCTGTCACCCAGGCTGGAGTGCAGTGGCACGATCTCAGCTCACTGCAACCTCTGCCTCCCGGGTTCAAGCGATTCTCTCGCCTCAGTCTGAGGAGTAGTTGGGACTACAGGCGTATGCCACCATACCTAGCCATAGATTTTTGTCTTTGAATATAACACAACGTGGGAAAAGCATAGTAAATTCACTGATGCCTCACTTATCTCAAATGATACAAATTTTGAACCATTATTAAATTTCACGGAAACCATTATAATTTATATAAACAATATGCTGCAAACATTTGAAACAAGTCATGTAATAGCAAGTCTTTACAAATTTATTAGCCCTAGGAGAAGTATTATTTTTTTTTTCTTGGATGCCAGAATCTTGAGAACAGTATGTGCAAAGTAAAAATGCATTCGATTTGAGAGTTATACTTAGCTTTTTGAAGTTTTTCAAATCTTGCTAGTGAGCCTTTTGCTAATTAAAAGTGATCTTCTGAGCCTGATGTGGTGGTGCGTGCCTGTAGTCCCAGCTACGCTGGAGGCTGAAGCAGGAGGATCCCTTGAGTCCAGGAGTTCAAGACTGTAGGATTTCCAGGTTATAGTGCACAGTGATCTCGTCAGTGAATAGTCACTGAACTCCAGCCTGGGCAATATAGCAGAAACTCTGACTTTATTTTTTATTTTTTTAATTATTTATTTATTTATTTATTTATTTATTTATTTATTTTGAGACGGAGTCTCGCTCTGTCGCCCAGGCTGGATGGAGTGCAGTGGTGCGATCTTGGCTAACTGCAAGCTCCGCCTCCCGGGTTCACACCATTCTCCGGCCTCAGCCTCCCGAGTAGCTGGGACTACAGGCGCTCGCCACGCCCGGCTCATGAGCCGCCTGCCTCGGCCTTCCAAAGTGCTGGGATTACAGGCATGAGCCACCGCGCCCGGCCTGACTTTATTTTTTAAAACAAACAAATAGAAAGGGGACTTCCATTCTGTCAGAGACATTTGAACCAGAGCAACTCCATCTTGAATAGGGGTTGGATAAAATGAGGCTGAAACGTACTGGGCTGCATTCCCAGACACTTGAGGCATTCTAGGTCATAGGATGAGATAGGAGATCGGCACAAGACATAGGTCACAAAGACCTTGCTGATAAAAGAGGTTGCAGTAAAGAAGCCGGCTGAAACCCACCGAAACAAAGATGGCGATGAGAATGACCTCTGGTTGTCCTCACTGCTACACTCCCACCAGCAACCTGACAGTTTACAAATGCCATGGAAACATCAGGAAGTTACCCTATATGATCTAAAAAGGGGAGGCATGAATAATTTGCCTCTTGTTTAGCATATAATCAAGAAATAACTTAACAATGGGCAAACAGCAGCCCTCAGGGCTGCACTGCCTTTGGAGTAACCTTCTTTCGTTTCTTAACTTCTCTAATAAACTTGCTTTCACTTTATGGATTTGCCTTGAATTCTTTGTTGCATGAGATCCAAGAACTCTCTCTTGGGGTTTGGATCATGACCACTTTCTGGCAACAATTCTTCAAAGAAACCTTTTTTTTTTTTTGAGACAGAGTTGTGTGTTTCCCTCTTGTTGCCCAGGCTGATTTGCGATGGCGAGATCTCGGCTCACTGCAGCCTCCACCTCCCAGGTTCAAATGATTCTCCTGCCTCAGCCTCCTGAGTAGCTGGGATTACAGGCGCCCATCACCACGGCTGGATAGTTTTTATTTTTATTTTTAGTAAAGATGAGATTTCACCATGTTGGCCAGGCTGGTCTCGAACTCCTGACCTCAGGTGATCCACGTGCTTCAGCCTCCCAAAGTGCTGGGACTACAGGCGTGAGCCACCACGCCCAGTCCAAAGAAAACTTCATATCTGATTTTATATTTTTTTAAAAAGGCCTTACAGGTTGGGCATGGTTGCTCATGCCTGTAATCCCAACACTTTGGGAGGCCGAGGTGGGTGAATTGCTTGAGCGCAGGAGTTAGAGACTGAAACTGCCTTTGCAAAATTATGACTGAGACAGTGAAAGAAATCTAACTTAACCGACTCCATTTTGCTTCTAACCTCCAAGCTGTCATTCATTCCTGGGCCTAAGCTGAACTAACTTTGGGAGAAACTTGGTTTATAATTTAAAACAAAGACAATAATAGCCCTTTCCCTTTGTTTTAATAGCCCTTTAAAACAAAGACAATAACAGACCTCCTTCTTGCCTGGGGACTAGATTGCCTTTGTAGGACTAACACAGATTAGAAATTATGGTTTAGGCTGGGTGCAGTGGCTCATGCCTGTAATCCCAGCACTTTGGGAGGCAGAGGCGGGCGGATCACCTGAGGTCAGGAGTTCGAGACCAGCCTGACCAATATCATGAACCCCTATCTCTACTAAAAATACAAAAAGTAGCTGGGCGTGGTGGCATGTGCCTGTAATCCCAGCTACTCAGGAGGCTGAGACAGGAGAATGGGTTGAACCCCAGAGGCAGAAATTGCAGTGAGCCGAGATTGCGCCATTGCACTCCAGCCTGGACAACAAGAGCGAAACTCTGTCTCAAGAAAAAAAAGAAAACAAAACAGAAAGAAATTACGGTTTAGGAGTCATGCAGGTGAAGGCTACAAGATTCTGACCCTCCCTAAACATCTCCTAAGATCAGTGCTTGAGACATTTTGTCGACCCTGCACTTGATGGATCAGCCGGTACCACCCAGATTGATTAACTGGCTCATCTGATCTTATGGCCCCCACCCAGGAACTGACTCAGCGCAAGAAGACAGCTTAGACTCCCTGTGATTTCATCTCTGACCAATCAGCACTCCTGGCTCACTGGCTTCCCCTGACCCACCAAGTTGTCCTTAAAAACTCTGCTCCCCAGGCTGGGCGAGGTGGCTCGTGCCTCTAATCCCAGCACTTTGGGAGGCTGAGGCAGGTGGATCACCTGAGGTCAGGAGTTTAAGACCAGCCTGGCCAACTTGGTGAAATCCTGTCTCTAAAAATACAAAAATCAGCTGGGTATGGTGGCACAGGCCTGTAATCCCAGCTACTGAGGCTGAGGCAGGAGAATCACTTGAACCTGGGAGGTGGAGGTTGCAGTGAGCCAAGATTTTGCCATTGCACTCCAGCCTGGGTGACAGAGAGAGACTCCATCTCAAAAAACAGAACAAAACAACAACAACAAAAACAAACTCTGCTCCTCGAATTCTTGGGCAGACTGATTTGAGTAATAATAAAACTCCTGTCTCCCACACAGCAGGCTCTGCGTGAATTACTCTTTCTATATTGCAATTCCTCTGTCTTGAGAAATCGGCTCTGTCTAGGCAGCGGGCAAGGTAAACACATTGGGCGGTTATGAGACCAGCCTAGTTAACACGGTGAAACCCCATCTCTACAAAAAATACAAAAATTAGCCGGGTGTGATGGTGCATTCCTGTAGTCCCAGCTTCTCAGAAGGCTGAAGCGAGAGGATGGCATGAGTCCAGGAAACGGAGGTTACAGTGAGCCAAGATTGAGCAACTGTACTCCAGCATAGGCAACAGAGCCAGATCCTGTACCAAAAAAAAAAAAGCCTTACATTATTTTTTTGCACCATTTCAACCAGTGCATTGTGACGGCTCTGCCCATTAGCTAAATCTAGCTAATCAGTATAAGCATCTGCCCAGTCTGCCCATCTGGCTGGACTTCTCCAGGGAAAGTCCATACTGATACTAAAAGTCTGGCCACAGAAGCTGTTATTCTTTAAAAGTGCCAGGCCTTCACATTGAAAGCTTAGAACAATTTTCTCCCTTCTCTTTTTCTCTTTTGAAATTATGACATACTTAAGTAGAAAACTACATAGAATAGCTATAATGAACCTGTATGGGCCAAAGGAAAACTTCCCTTTCGCCCTCTGAAGGTTGGCTGGAAAATTAACTCACGAAAGATAGATGCAGGCTGGGCACGGTGGTTCACATCTGTAATCCCAGCACTTTGGGGGGCTGAGTCGGGTGGATCACCTGAGGTCAGGAGTTCAAAACCAGCCTGGAAACATGGTGAAAATATAAAAATTAGCTGGGCACAGTGGCGTGTGCTTGTAATCCCAGCTACTCGGGAAGCTGAGACAGGAGAATCACTTGAGCCCAGGAGGTGGAGGTTGCAGTGAGCTGAGATTGTGCCATTGCATTCCAGCCCTGTCGACAGAGCAAGAGTCTGTCCAAAAAACAAAACAAAACAAAACAAAAAAAAAAAAGGTGCATTGGAGAAGAGGCATATAAATGGATTAATGTGTACACAGAGAGAACCACAGAGTGATTAACCAATCCACAACAGGGTTCAGGAGCTTATTTACCATCCTGGCAAAACAGGTTATGGGATAGGGAACAGGAATTCTCTTGAGGGGCCATAGGCGATTATTAGGGAGAATGAATGGGCCCAGAGATAGAGATTGAGTTTTGAATAGTTCCCTGTGGAATGTGAATGAGCTGAGAGACAGACTCTTTTGGGAAAGGACCTGCTCAGGTGTGATTCCATTCCTGATCTTACAGGGAGGGGAAGAGAAAACAATTATTCTTTGTGGTATGTCTGGACTTGAAGCAGATAAAGGAACTTCAGAGAATAACTCATCCTGCCTGTGGGAGAGCTGGTTGAGAAGAGAGGTCAGAGAAACCTTGAAGTTTCTTCTTCAGTTCAGCATGTTGGCATATTTTGGGGTATTAATTTCTGAGCCTCAGCAAACCTCACAGACACCACTTCCTTATACAACTGTAAACACAAACTTTTTTTTTTTTTTTTTTTTTTTGAGACAGAGTCCCACCCTGTCACCCAGGCTGGAGTGCATTGGCACGATCTCAACTCACAGCAACCTCTACCTCCCGGGTCAAACAATTCTTGCCTCAGTCTCCCAAGTAGCTGGGATTACAGGCCCGTGCCACCCCACCCGGCTAATTTTTGTATTTTTAGTAGAGATGGGGTTTCACCATGTTGGCCAGGCTGGTCTCAAACTCCTGACCTCAGGTGAGCCACCCGCTTCGGCCTCCCAAAGTGCTAGGATTACAGGTGTGAGCCACTGTGCCTGGCCTCTTTTTTTTTTTTTTTGGAGACTAAGTGTCGATCTGTCACCCAGGCTGGAGTGCAATGGCAGGATCTCGGCTCACTGCAACCTCCACCTCCCGGGTTCAAGCAATTCTCCTGCCTCAGCCTCTGGAGTAGCTGGGATTACAGGCGCCCACCACCATGCTTGGCTAATTTTTTTATATTTTGAATAGAAACGGGGTTTCACCATGTTGCCCAGGCTGGTCTCCAACTCTTGACCTCAAGTGATCCGCCTGCCTCAGCCTCCCAAAGTGCTGGGATTACATCTTTTTTTCTTTTTTTTTTTATGGGGGTGGAGTTGGGGGGTGTCTCACTATGTTGCCCAGGCTGGTCTCCAACACCTGGGCTCAAGTGTTCCTCCCACCTGCCTCGGCCTCCCAAAGTGCTGGGATTATAGGCATGCACCACTGTGCCTGACCTAAACTGTTTTCTTCCACCATACTCTTGTTACCTGAAAAAAAACAGGGTTTGTTTGCCTGGCAAATAACAAATGACTCTCCACAAGGCAGGTTTTAATCAACAGGAGTTTAATTACAAGTAAGGAGAGCACTGGGAGGATTCTTCAAAGCAGTGTCTCCCGGAGAGAAGTGACAGGAGGATTTTAGGGGGTGATGGGGAGGGGAGAGGGTGCCTCATTGCATGTAGAGGAGGGGTCCCAGTTTTGGAAACACAGTGAATCCTCACGCCCGCACACAGGTCACATGCTATGAGAATGAAGCCACAGCTCCTCCCAGGATGGAGATTTCAGCATGGTAATGAGGAACTTTCACTCAGGTTTATCTACAAGTTTCTGGGGTCTGCCAGGAGCCAGTTTTAACCAACTAGGTGACTGCAGTCAACACAGGGTTTAGGAAAAAAGAGGCTGCACGGCAGGAGGCTGTAAAACAAGCCAATTGCTCAGGGTGATTAAATTTCTGTAATCCCTGAAGACCCTCCCTGTCTGCTCACACAACACAAAACACTTGTGACCAGATGTATGGGACTTTTTCTCCACACACCAAACAGTTAACTATCCAGCAAATACTGAGTGGCCTATTTGATTCAATTCAGCCACTAGCTACCTGGAGATGGTATCAGATTCCACAGGGGGAGGGCTGAGTCCCAAAAGACTGCCTCCCACTTTAGATGCCAATTCCAAGACCAAGGCTGTGATCTGTGCTTCTGACAAACCTGCTATAAATCAGGGTTCCTACAACCCCCTCCTTGGCTTCATAATTTGCTAGGATTGCTAACAGAACTCAGGGAAACACGTTTATCACTTAATTATGCAGGACGTTTTAAAGATATAGATGAATAGCTGGATTTAAAAGATGCATAGGGTGAGCTTTTGGGAGGAAGAGGCTTGGCGCTTCCATGGCCCATCTGGGCACCACCCTCCCAGCACCTCCAAGTGTCAGTACCCTGCCAACCCATCAATTCTTTTTTTTTTTCTTTTGAGAGGCAGTTGCACTCTGTTGCCTAGGCCAGAGTGCAATGGCAAGATCTCGGCTCACTGCAACCTCCACCTCTTGGGTTCAAGGGATTATCCAGCCTCAGCCTTCTGAGTAGCAGAGATTACAGGCACCTTCCACCACGCCTGGCTACTTTTTGTATTTTTAGTAGAGACAGTGTTTTGCTATGTTGGCCAGGCTGGTCTCCAACTCCTGACCTCAAGTGATTTGCCAACCTCAGCAAAGGGCTAGGATTACAGGCATGAGCCACCGTGCCCAGCCCCCATCCATTCTTGTTCAAGAGTTTTTATGGCCGGGCCACTGCACTCCAGCCTGGGTGACAGAGCAAGACTCCGTCTCGGAAAAAAAAAAAAGAGTTCTTAGAGGCCAGGTGTGGTGGCTCACGCCTGTAATCTCAGTACTTTGGGAGGCCGAGATGGGCAGATCACCTGAGGTAAGGAGTTCGAGACCAGCCTGGCCAACATGGCGAAACCCCATCTCTACTAAAAATACAAAAATTAGCCAGGCATGGTTGTGGGCACCTGTAATCCCAGCTACTCGGGAGGCTGAGGCAGGAGAATCCCTTGAACTGGGGAGGCAGAGGTTGCAGTGAGCCAAGATCACACCACTGCAGTCCAGCCTGGGTGACAGAGTACTCTGTCTCAAAAAAATTTTTTTTTTTTGGTCTCAATCTCCTGACCTCATGATCCACCTGCCTCGGCCTCCCAAAGTGCTGGGATTACACGCCCAGGTAATTTTTGTATTTTTAGTAGAGACAGGGTTTCACTATGTTGGCCAGGCTGGTCTCAAACTCCTGACCTCAGGTGATCCACTTGCCTTGGCCTTCCAAAGTGCTGGGATTACAGGCATGAGCCAATGTGCCCAGCCTATTATTTTTAAACTGACAGATAAATTTTACATATTTATCATATAGGACATGATGGTTTGGTTTTGGTTTGATTATTTATTTATTAAATATTTATTTATTTATTTTTGAGACAAATTCTAGCTCTGTCACCCAGACTGGAGTGCAGTAGAGTGATCTTCTTGGCTCACTGCAAATTCAACCTCCTGGATTCAAGAGATTCTCATGCCTCAGCCTCCAGAGTAGCTGGGACTACAAGCATGCACCACCATGTCCAGTTAATTTTTGTATTTTTTGATAGAGATGGGGTTTCTCCTTGTTGTCCAGACTGTTCCTGAGCTCCTGGCCTCAAGTGATCCATCCACATCAGCCTCCCGAAGTGCTGGGATTACAGGCGTAAGCCACCGCGCCTGGCCTGCTTTTTTATTTTTATTTTCAGTATTTTCTTGAGACAAGTCTCCCAGGCTGGGGTGCACTGCCACAGTCAAGGCTCACTGCAGTCTCAAACACCTGGGCTCCAGTGATCCTCCCACCTCAGCCTATAGCTGGGACTACAGGCTCCAGCCACCACTCCCAGCTAATTTTTTGTATTTTTTGTAGAGACATGGCCTGCCTATGTTGCCCAAGCTGGTTTCAAATTCTTGGGTTCACGCAATCCTCTTGCCTTGGCCTACCAAAGCACTGGGATTTCAGGTGTGAGCCTCTGTGCCCAGCCTAATTCTTAGTTTCCATAGGTATTACATGCTATTTTGAAGCATATATAAACTTGGAATGACTAAATCTAGCTAATTAACATATATGCATTACCTCACATAATTACCATTTTTGTGGTGAGAACACAACATTCAATCTCTTAACATTTTTCAAGAATACAATATATTGGTTTGGTTTGGTTTGGTTTGTCTTTTTCTTGAGACGGAGTTTCGCTCTGTCACCCAGGCTGAAGTGCAGTGGCGCGATCTCGGCTCACTGCAAGCTCCGCCTCCTGGGTTCATGCCATTCTTCTGCCTCAGCCTCCCAAGTAGCTGGGACTACCGGCGTCAGCCATCACACAGCTAATTTTTTTTTTGTATTTTTAGTAGAGACGGGGTTTCACCGTGTTAGCCAGGATGGTCTCAATCTCCTGACCTCGTTATCCGCCCCCCTCGGCCTCCCAAAGTGCTGGGATTACAGGCGTGAGCCACCATGCCTGGCCTGTTTTGCTTTGTTTGTTTTGAGAGGGAGTCTTGCTATGACGCCCAGGCTGAGGTACAATGGTGTGATCTCGTCTCACTGCAACCTCTGCCTTCCGGGTTCATGAGATTCTCCTGCCCCAGCCTCCCAAGTAGCTGGGACTACAGGTGCGCACCACCACACCCAGCTAATTTTTGTATTTTTAGTAGCAATGGGGTTTCACCATATTGGCCAGGCTGGTCTCGAACTCCTGACCTCAGGTGATCTGCCCTCCTCAGCCTTGCAAAGTGCTGGGATTACAGGTGTGAGCCACCGCGCCTACAATACATTGTTATTAACTATAGTCATCATGCTGTACCAAATTTTAAATAGGAGGATATTCTATGTGTTCTACAACTTGCCTTCTTTTTCTGATGAACTTCATATTTTTGAGTCTTATATTTTGATGTTTTTTGTTTTTTTTTCTTTTTGAAATATTTAGACCCAGTTAGCTCATTTTATGTTGTAGAACAGTGCTGTCCAATAGAACTTTCTGCAATGATGGAAATTTTCTATATCAGCATTGTCTAATATGGGTACTCACTAATCACATGTGGCTACTGAGCACTTGAAATGTGGCTAATGTGACAAAGGAACTAATTTTTGAGACGGAGTCTTGCTCTGTCGCCAGGCTGGAGTGCAGTGGCGTGATCTCAGCTCACTGCAACCTCCACCTCCAGGGTTCGAGCGATTCTCTTGCCTCAGCCTCCTGAGTAGCTGGGACTATAGGCATGTGCCACCACACCCAGCTAATTTGTGTATTTTTAGTAGAGATGGGGTTTCACCCTGTTGGCCAGGATGGTCTCGATCTCTTGACCTCCTGATCCGCCCGCCTCGGCAAAGTGGTGGGATTACAGGCGTGAGCCACCGTGCCTGGCCAAGGAACTAAATTTAAATTTTTAAAATGTGAAACATAGACGTAATTTTAATTATTTAAATTTAAGTTTAAATAGCCTCATGTGGCTCATTGCTACCATGTGGGATAACGCAGCTCTTTAATATTCAATTATATAAATATATCACAAATAATGTATCCATTCTTCTGTTTATGGATTTTAAAGTATTTCCAATTACTTTATATACTGTTATATTAAAAAATGCTGCAATGAACATACTTCTGCATGCCTTCTTGAGCAAATGTGGGAGAGGCTGGGTATAAGCTCATAAGTAGAGTTGTATTATCAACTCTACTAGATATTGCCAAATGGTCTCCACAGTGGTTTTTCTGGTTTACGCTCCCATCCACTAGAAGAAAGTCCCTGTTGCCCTGGAGCTTCAGCAACATCTGATATTCCCAAACCTGTCTTTGCCAATTTAATGAATGTCGCCTTGTTATTTTATTATTTTATTTTTAATTTTATTAATTTTATTTTTTTCACCTCATCGTTATTTTATTTTATGTATGTATGTATGTATTTATTTATTTATTTATTTATTTATTTATTTATTTATTTATTTTAAGACGGAGTCTCACTGTTGCCCAGGCTGGAGTGCAGTGGTATGATCTCAGCTCACTACAACCTCTGCGCCCCCACCCCCTCCCTGGGTTCAAGCAACTCTCCTGCCTCTGCCTCCTGAGTAACGGGAATTATAGGCACCTGCCACCACACCTGGCTAATTTTTGTATTTTTAGTAGAGATGGGGTTTCACCATCTTGGCCAGGCTGGTCTTGAACTCCTGACCTCATGATCCACCCTCCTCAGCCTCCCAAAGCGCTGGGATTACAGGCGTGAGCCACTGAACCCAGCCCTTGTCGTTATTTTAATTTGCTTTTTTTTGAAGCCCAAAATGTCAGTATTAATTTGCATTTTCTATTTTCTCTTTGAGGGATTGTCTTTCCTATATTTAAATTTTTTTTTCTCTTGGGTTGGTTGTCTTTTTCATATCGATTTGTGGAGTTCTTTGTAAATTCTAGACAGTAATTCTTTATTGGTTATATACCTATATATGATGTAGTCTGCTATGGCATGGCTTTTATTATTAATTTAATGTTTGCAAAACCAGCATATTTACATATATTTCAAAAGGTACAAAAAGATAACCAGGGGCTGGGCACGGTGGCTCACACCTGTAATCCCAGCACTTTGGGAGGCTGAGGCGGGCAGATCACGAGGTCAGGAGATCGAGACCATCCTGGCTAACACAGTGAAACCCCACCTCTACTAAAAATACAAAAAATTAGCGGGGTGTGTTGGCAGGCGCCTGTAGTCCCAGCTACCTGGGAGGCTGAGGAAGGAGAATGGCGTGAACCAGGGAGGCGGAGGTTGCAGTGAGCCGAGATCGCACCACTGCACTCCAGCCTAGGCAGCAGAGCAAGACTCCGTCTCAAAAAAAAAAAAAAGGTAAAAAAAAAAAAACCAGGATTTTTTTTTTTTTTTTGAGACAGAGTTTCACTCTTGTTGCCCCCAGGCTGGAGTGCAATGGCCCGTTCTTAGCTCACTGCAACCTCCACCTCTCGGGTTCAAGCAATTCTCCTGCCTCAGCCTCCTGAGTAGCTGGGATTACAGGCGCCTGCCCCCAAGCCCAGCTAGTTTTTTTTGTATTTTTAGTAGAGATGGGGTTTCACCATGTTGGCCAGGCTGGTTTCGAACTCCTGACCTCAAGTGACCCGCCCACCTCGGCCTCCCAAAGTGCTGGGATTATAGGCATGAGCTACTGCGTCCGACTTGATAAAGACTTTCATGAACACTAACATAGTTTCTAACAGTTCAAGGCCACATCTCTAGGATGACCCTAATGCCCTTTAAAGTGTCTGACTGAGAGAACTCAAGGCTGCCAAAAGAATGTACTGTTTGTTCCAGCCCACAGATGAAGGTAAGGCCCCTGTTTCCCAGCTGCTGTGAGAGTGTAGGAGCCTAATGATAAGCCCCAGCTAACAAGGCCAGGTGGGCTTAACACAGACCAACCCCCTTCCCACTTTTTGTAATCTGTCACTTCTCTGACGTCATTGAGTCCCCACTCACCCTCTCTGTTCTTTCATTCTTGCTTTAAAATGCCCAGTTATCTCTACAAATCAAAGTTGAGTTCAGTTCAAGCTAGGCTCTTTTCCCTATTGCAATAATATGTCACTGATTAAAATCTGTTCTTACCACTTTATTTATTTATTTATTTATTTATTTATTTATTTATTATTTTGAGACGGAGACTTGCTATGTGGCCTAGGCTGGAGTGCAATGGCACAATCTTGGTTTACTGCAAAATCTGCCTCCCGAGTTCAGGCGATTCTCCTGCCTCAGCCTCCTGAGTAGCTGGGATTACAGGTGTGCACCACCATGCCCAGCTAATTTTTGTTTTTTAGTAGAGATGGGGTTTCACCATGTTGGTCAGGCTGGTCTCGAATTCCTTGCCTCAAGTGATCCGCCTGCCTCGGCCTCCCAAAGCGCTGGGATTACAGGCGTGAGCCTCTGTGCCTGTCCTGTCCTTACCACTTTAGCTAGTGTCTGGCTTTGTTTATCTATGAGATGATCCAGCAATTCTACTCCCAGGTATATACCCACGAAAAATGAAGATATATATCCACACAGAAACTTGTATACAAATGTTTATAGCAACATTATTTATAATAGCCAAAAGGTGAAAACAGCCCAAATGCCCACTAACTGATGAATGGATAAATAAATTGTGATCTGTACAGGCAATGGAGTATTATTCAGCCATAAAAAGGAATGCCAGCTACTAGGGAGGTTGAGATGGGAGGATCACTTGAGCCTGGGAGGTTGAGGTTGCAGTGAGCCATGACCATACCACTGCACTCCAGCCTGGGTGACAGAGTAAGACTCTGTCTCAAAGAAAAAAATAAATGAAAGGAACACAGGGAGTGATGGGCTGAGCGTGGTAATCCCAGCACTTTGGGAGGCTGAGGCAAGAGGATCCCTGGAGCCTAGGAGTTTGAGACCAGGCTAGGTAAGTAACATAGGGAGACCCCATGTCCACTAAAAATAAAAAAATAAAAAAATTAGTGTTCCGGCGGGGGCGGCCGAGGGGGAAGAGTGTGTGTCTGCGGGAGAAAGAGGAGAATCACCCAAGCGGCCTCAGAAGTCCCAGGGAGTGGAGGCCCCTGCCATGGAGCCGTGTGGTGTATGTGTGGTAACACCATGTCTGTGCCCCTGCTCAACGATGCTGCCACCGTGTCTGGAGCTGAGCGGGAAACGGCCGTGGTTATTTTTTTACATGGACTTGGAGAAACAGGGCACAGCTGGGCTGACGCCCTCTCCACCATTCGGCTCCCTCACGTCAAGTACATCTGTTCCCATGAGCCTAGGATCCCTGTGACCCTCAACATGAAGATGGTGATGCCCTCCTGGTTTGACCTGATGGGGCTGAGTCCAGATGCCCCAGAGGACGAGGCTGGCATCAAGAAGGCAGCAGAGAACATCAAGGCCTTGATTGAGCATGAAATGAAGAACGGGATCCCTGCCAATCAAATCATCCTGGGAGGCTTTTCACAGGGCCGGGCCCTGTCCCTCTACATGGCCCTCACCTGCCCCCACCCTCTGGCTGGCATCCTGGCTTTGAGCTGCTGGCCGCCTCTGCACCGGGCCTTCCCCCAGGCAGCTAATGGCAGTGCCAAGGACCTGGCCATCCTCCAGTGCCATGGGGAGCTGGACCCCATGGTGCCCGTACGGTTTGGGGCCCTGATGGCTGAGAAGCTCCAGTCTGTTGTCACACCTGCCAGGGTCCAGTTCCAGACATACCTGGGTGTCATGCACAGCTCCTGTCCTCAGGAGATGGCAGCTGTGAAGGAATTTCTTGAGAAGCTGCTGCCTCCTGTCTAACTAGTCGCTGGCCCCAGTGCAGTACCCCAGCTCATGGGGGACTCAGCAAGTAAGCATGGCACCATCTTGGGTCTGAGCTGGTCGAGCCCCTGTCCCCACCCTTCCTGACCTGTCCTTTTCCCACAGGCCTCTAGGGGCAGGTGGCAAGGCCTGGCTGGGCCTTCCTTCCTGGCCTCAGCCACCTGGCTCTGTCTGCAGTAGGGGCAGGCTGCTTTCTTATCCCATTTCCCTGGAGGCGGGCCCCCCTGGCAGCAGTATTGGAGGGGCTACAGGCAGCTGGAGAAAGAGGCCCAGCCACTGACCCACTCACTCAGGACCTCACTCACTAGCCCCACTTTGGGCCCCCTCCTGTAACCTTAGGGTTTGGCCCATGGGGCCCTCCCAGGCCCCTGCCCCAACTGATTCTGCCCAGATAATCTTGTGTCTCCTGCCTCCACTCAGCTGCTTCTCAGTCATGAACGTGGCCATGGCCCCGGGGGTCCCCTTGCTGCTGTGGGCTCCCTGTCCCTGGGCAGGAGTGCTGGTGAGGAGGTGGAGCCTTTTGAGGGGGGCCTTCCCTCAGCTGTTTCCCCACACTGGGGGGCTGGGCCCTGCCTCCCCGTTACCCTCCTTCCCTGCAGGCCTGGAGTCTGTAGGGCTGGACTGAGGTTCAGGTCTCCCCCCAGCTGTCTCACCCCCACTTTGTCCCCACTCTAGAGCAGGGAGGCAGTGGGGGAGGAGTTGTGTCTTGTCTTCTGTCTCCATGTGGTTTTTGGGTGTTTTTCTTCTTGTGTCCTGGATTCTGATAAAATTAAAGAAATTGCTTCCTCAAAAAAAAAAAAAAATTAGCCGGACATGGTGACTCGTGCCTGTGGTCCCAGCTACTCGGAAGGCAAGAGGTTGGAGTATCACTTGAGCCCAGGAGGCGGAGACTACAGTGAAACATGATCACACCACTACACTCCAGCCTGGGCAATGGTAAGACCCTGTCTCAAGGAAAGAAAAAAAAAAAGGAATGTGGTAGTGATACATTATATGCTACAACGGTGAGGAACCTCAAAAACATTATGCTAAGTGAAATAAGTCATTATTTATGGACTTTTATTTTTCATTGTCAAGTTAGCATTGTACACAAATACACACACATGCTCACACACACAGCTTGGTTTCATTTGCAAAACTTTTATTTAGGATTTTTCCAGGTATGTTTGTCAGTGAGATTAGCCTATAGCTTTCCTTTCTTTCACTGTCTTTGTCTAATATTGTTATAGAGGTTATATTAATTTTTTTTTTTGAGATAAGAGTCTCGCTCTGTCACCCAAGCTGGAGTGCAGTGGCACAATCTCAGCTCATTGCAACCTCCACCTCCAAGGTTCAAGCTATTCTTGTGTCTCAGCATCCCGAATAGCTGGGATTACAGGCATGTGCCACCATGGTCGCCTAATTTTTTAAAAAAATGTTTTTAAATTTTTAGTAGAGATGGGGTTTTGCCATGTTGGCCAGGCTGGTCTCGAACTCCTGGCCTCAAGAGATCCACCCGCCTTGGCTTCCCAAAATGCTGGGGTTACAGGCATGAGCCACTGCTACCAGACTAGGTTATATTAAGTCTTATAAAATAGTTTGAAAGTATACTCTCTTTTTGAAAGGCATTTTTTTTTCTTTGCTTGTTTGTTTTTAGTTTTCTTTTCTTTGTTTTTTTTTATGTTTTTGAGACGGAGTCTTGCTCTGTTGCCCAGGCTGGAGTGCAGTGGCACAATCTCGGCTCACTGCAACCTCTGCCTCCCAGGTCCAAGCGATTCTCCTGCCTCAGCCTCTTGAGTAGCTGGGATTACAGACGCCCACCACCACGCCCGGTTAATTTTTGTATTTTTAGTAGAGACAAGGTTTCTCCATGTTGGCTTCCCCAGGCTGGTCTCGAATTCCTGACCTCGTGATCTGCCCACATCGGCCTCCTAAAGTGCTGGGATTACAGACGTGAGCCACCACGCCTGGCCGCTTGTTTTGTTTTTAATGTTGGTTATAACTCTGTATCTAGGTAATTATCTCATGAAGCATTTTTCTGCTATTGGAAGCAATTTGTATAAAACAGTAAGCCTCTTCGCCCCCATTCTTTTACGGGGCTAATTTCTACTCATTCTCCAGTTCTCATCATAAACTTCACATTGTTAGAAAGGGCTTTGCTTTCTCTCCCACTAGATTAGGTGTCTCTGTTCCATGACTCTCAGCACATTTCATTGTGATGTCTCATTAAATGTTGGTATTCTCAGCTGGACCCTAAACTACATGGACAGGGACCTAACTTTTGTTCACCACTACCCCAGTGCTTAGCACATTGATGTCACAAAATTGGCCACCAATAAATACGTTTGGCGGAATGAGTGAAAGAAACACGGCAAACTGGAATGCCCTGGGAAGTCCTCCTGCTTCAGAACAAAGGAGAAGACCGGAAGAAAGAAGGGCTACAGCCCAGCTGTGGAAGCAGAGCCCTAGGCAAGGAGGTGTCAGTGCAGTCCTGGTCCCTCTGTGCAGGAGCCTCTCATAAAGAGGCTGAGCTGTGTCAGCACCAGGGGCCCCATCATCATAGGAGGTCAGTGAAGCTTGGGAGTTCTGGCAGATGCAGCAGAGGTGGCCCTGAACACTTGGAGATTCTGGGATGGTCACCTGGGAGCCAGCAGCCATGCAGGGTAATGGGGAAGACAGCAGCGATTTCTGGAGATTGGCTCCCCTCAAAGACAGAGAGAGGAGCTTGGGCAGGACTAGATTTTCCAGTTTTTTTGTTTTGTTTTGTTTTTGTTTTTGTTTTGTTTTTTTTTTTGAGACGGAGTCTCACTCTGTCGCCCAGGCTGGAGTGTAGTGGTGCGATCTTGGCTCACTGCAAGCTCCGCCTCCCGCGTTCATGCCATTCTCCTGCCTCAGCCTCCCGAGTAGCTGGGACTACAGGCGCCCACCACCACGCCTGGCTAATTTTTTGTATTTTTTAGTAGAGACGGGGTTTCAGCGTGTTAGCCAGGATGGTCTCGATTTCCTGACCTCGTGATCTACCCGCCTCGGCCTCCCAAAGTGCTGGGATTACAGGCGTCAGCCACCACACCCGGCCTAAGTCACACTTTCAAAATTCCTAAATCCACCCAAGGCACGGATAGCTCAGTGGCTTCTGCAGGGCCCTGGAGAAACTTCCCTCACCAGGTTCTGACCCTCTGGCTCATGTTGGGTCATCATCTTGTTTAGTCTGCATCTGCACCTTAGTACCAGGAAGTGCCTTAGGCTGAGGAACAAGAATTCACTACTCACTGAAAAAATCAATGTCCCAGGTATTCTAGCTTACCTATCAGTCTCGTGTGACTTTGGCTAGCGTCAGTCAGTTCCCTTGAATGTCAATAACCCTGAATATTCTGGCAAATAGAACTTTAAGTCAAGTTATCGCTGGATCCTAGTGACAATCATCAGTCCTTAATACTAGATGATGGTTTGTTTGTTTATTAGTAAATCCTGACTGAGCACCTCCTGGGGGGCAGACCATGGTTGGGTCTGTCCCTGGTATCAACTTAGACAAATATTTCCATGTGATCCAGATATCTTAATCTATAGAGTGGATCTGAGAGCTGATGGCTTAGACCAGCTATTTGCTAAATTTCCTTCCCAGTATCTCAAAGGAGAATAGAGTAATGAAGGGAGGAGGTACTTGAGAGGGCCTGATTCAAGCAAGCAGGTTTGACTAAATTGTTGGATGGAGTCACCTTCACTACAACATTCCTCTCTGAGTAAAGCTGGGGCAATCCCAAGACAAGCCTTACAACTGAGTAGGGGTCTCTGGGAGCTGACTCTTTCCTGAGTTGACCAGCTACCGGCCAGACCAAGGTCACATTGGCACTTTTTTACTGCCATGCACAGACCTTTCACTTTTTCACTATGAGGGCATTTTACCACTTTATCCTTTGAATAAACTACAAGTACATAAGACACTTCAGCCTCACGCAAGCTTGGAAGGTAGGATAACACAATGGTGGGTAAAAGCATGTGCTCTGGAGACAAAGTCTGAGATCAAACCCAACCTCCAGGGAGTCTCTCTGAACCCATTTTGGTTCAGAGGGCTGCCTGAAAAAACAACAAAACAAAAAACCCAAACTCCCGCCTTTATGTCTCTGGGTCTCATGGACAAATAGGGTTAATAAGAGTCCTGCAACAAGGCTGGGCGTGGTGGCTCAAGCCTGTAATCCCAGCACTTTGGGAGGTCGAGGTGGGCAGATCACCTGAGGTCAGGACTAGCCTGGCCAACATGGTGAAACCTGTCACCACTAAAAATACAAAATTAGCCTGGCATAGTGGCACATGCCTGTAGTCCCAGCTACTGGGGAGGCTAAGGTGGGAGAATCACTTGAACTCGGGAGGTGGAGGTTGCAGTGAGCCAAGATGGCACCATTGCACTCCAGCCTGGGCGACAAGAGTGAAACTCCATCTCAAAAATAAATAAATAAATAAAAATAAAAATAGAGTCCTGCAACAGTGAGGATGCATTCAGATGAAAGCAACAGAAAACTCAGCTAATAATGTCAGTTAATAAAGACATTTAATTGTTTCATATTTCAAAAATGTCCGGAGGTCAGCAGCCAGTAAGCCCCCTAACGATATTATCTAAGACCCAGGGTCTCTTCATCCTGCTCCATCATCCTTGGCGTGCTGGCTTTTGGGGCCCTCTGTGTGATACTCCACTGATATTCTTGGCACATGGGAAACATCATCTGCTCTTGGATTTCCCAGATCAATCTGAGGATATTACTTCTTGGGGGTAGGTAGGGCCCTGTGGTGGTTTGGACTGTTATTCCCAATTCTTTGCTTCCTCCTTATTATTTAAGTGTACATCCATCCCCTTTGCTGTGTGACTTGCTTGTGCCAACAGAATGTCAGAGGACACGATGCAAGCAGATGCTTTCAATGTGCTTTTGTAGTTTGGCTTGGCCTCTTGCACTCCTGTGATCTGACAAGAGAAAGGCAAATTCCAGATATCCATTGCCCCTTCAGCTGTGACCCAGAATAGACACTGGACCAGGACTAAAGGAGTCCTACCAAGCCCTGTCAAGCCCAGCCTGATTAGACAAACCACAGACAACTCACAAACCCATGAGCATGAAAATAAATAGAGTGGCTTAAGCAATCTCCTGGGGACAGGTATAGGAGGACAGCAAGGGTCCTTGGGTTCTCAGAGTGTCCTCCAGCTCCTCCGGTTTATGAGTCAGTATGTACTTGGTCACATTCATCCTGGGGGCCTTTGGCTAAAGTCAACATTTAGAGTTTCTCGTGGATCTCTTGGCTGGATCTGATCTCACTGGTGCTTTCTGGCTGACTCAACCTCCCTGTGGCTCTCGGTAGCCCAGTGGGACCCCTGAATCTCTACCATGTCTCCCATTCAGCTCCTAACCAAGTTATGCAAACCACATGCCTCTGCTGCCAGGTCACCCTCTTCCTACCCCCCATGCCCCATGGCAGGCCCATGGCTCTCAATTCAATACCCATCACTGGAAAAGGGCTGGTAACACAAAACAGACCCTGTCTCCCTGCCAGTGCATCCTGATTTGCCCACTTATCTACAATGGGCAAAATTTTGTAGCAGCTTCAGTGATCTCTTCTGTTTTCTGGATGTTTCTGAAGCCATTCCCCCAATTCCAAGGCATCTCCTTGACTCTCACCTCCCTGCCTTCGTCTTGTTGAAACTCCAAGATGAGAAGTGGTAGGCTTCTCTTTTATTCTTTTCATATCTTATCTTTGGCTTCCTAGCTCTAATTGCCACTTCAAAAGACAAGGGTTCCCTTTGGAAACAATCTGTTGAGGTAGCTGTTATTATCCTCATTATGGACATATAGGAAATCAAAGATGAGAGATTAAATTACCTCCTCCTTTGGTAGAAACTTGATTCTAGATCTGGCTCTTGATTATGTTAAATGGGAGCTAAATGAATGCAGAAAACAATTTCTTTCTCATAGTCCAGTTTTCAAGTCCATTGTCTTGCTGCAAAATCCTATTTTGAATTTCAATAGATGCATATTACCATTTCCTTCTCTTTATATTTCTTCTGAAACAATCTTAATCTCCTCACAAGCAGTTTGATGCCACAACCAAATAAGAAAGAGGTCATTTACTTGCTGAAGGCAAAAGAGTATAAAAGGAAAAAACACATTAATAGTTTCTTCATACATTATCCATTCTAGCTCCCTGCTTCCACCTGACTTCCCTATTGCAAAGTCTGGAGAATCTTTATCTAGTCCTTTGAATGTGTGTATGCACACATGAGAATTCATGGCTGCATGCAAGAGTGTGTGTGCATGCATGTATTGATGAGAGTGTTGAGAAAAGGAACTCTTCATTTTCTCTTTTTTTCTTTTCTTTTCTTTTTTTTTTTTGAGACAGAGTCTTGCTCTGTCGCCCAGGCTGGAGTGCAGTGAGCTCATTGCAACCTCTGCCTCCCGGGTTCAAGGGATTCTCATGCCTCAGTCTCCCAAGTAGCTGGGATTCCAGGCACGTGCCACAACACCCGGCTAATTTTTGTATTTTTAGTAGAGACGGGGTTTCACCATGTTGGCCAGGATGGTCTCAAACTCCTGACTGCAAGTGATCCACCCGCGTCAGCCTCCCAAAGTGCTGGGATTACAGGCGTGAGCCACTGCGCCCGGTCCATTTTTTCTTTTTTTTTTTTTTAATGCCATAAGTCTTTGAAACTCTAAAGCCAAAAATTTGACCCATTTATTTATAATTGGTATTATACTGTCATTCCTTTCTTTAGGTAATAAAGCCAGAACCATTGGTTTTTTTCATTAAGATAGGGAACCAGGTTACAAGGATTACCAAAAATAAAAGATAATAGGCTGCTGTTTTTAAAACCTTACATCTCCAGGATCTAAGTCAGTGGCAATAGGGAGGGAAGAGAGGCATTTGGTGACCCAAACCAACTGCTGCTGAGCTGTCCAGTTCTCTGGCTCTCCTTTGACTTCTTGGAACCATCACTTTGACAACAATAAACTCCCAATGCAGGAAAACAAAGCCAGGATTTTTTCTGAGTCTCAGCCACATGCTAAGCGATATGTGATGTACTTTTGTGTACATTATCTCATTTCTTCTTAAAGCAATCCTTCATAGTAGGTATTATCATTTTCACTTTTCACTTTTTTTTTTTTTTTTTGAGGCAGGGTCTCATTCTGTCACCCAGGCTAGAGCGCAGTGGAGCAATCACTACAGCCTCAAATTCCTGGGCTCAAGTGATCCTCCCACCTCAGCCTCCTGAGTAGCTGGAACTGCAGGCGTGTGCTACCATGCCCAGATAATTTTTAAATTTTTTTGCAGAGATTGGGATCTCATTATGTTGCCCAGGCTGGTCTCAAACTCCTGGCCTCAAGCAATTCTCTTGCCTCCGCTTCCCCAAGCGTTGGGATTACAGGCATGAGCCACTGCACTTGGCCTCATTCTCATTTTTTAATGATGAGACAGGGTGCACAGGCTGAAAGAGGTAGAATAACTTCCCCAAAGCCCAACAGCTAAAACATGAAAGAGCCGGGATTCGGCCGCCCCGTCTGGGAAGTGGGCGCCTCTGCCCGGCCACCCCGTCTGGGAGGTGAGGAGCGCCTCTGCCAGGCTGCCCTGTCTGGGAAGTGTACGCAACAGCTCTGAAGAGACAGCGACCATCGAGAACGGGCCATGATGACGATGGCGGTTTTGTCGAAAAGAAAAGGGGGAAATGTGGGGAAAAGAAAGAGAGATCAGATTGTTACTGTGTCTGCATAGAAAGAAGTAGACATAGGAGACACCATTTTGTTCTATACTAAGAAAAATTCTTCTGCCTTGGGATGCTGTTAATCTATAACCTTACCCTCAACCCTGTGCTCTCTGAAACATGTGCTGTGTCAACTCAGGGTTAAATGGATTAAGGGCGGTGCAAGATGTGCTTTGTTAAACAGATGCTTGAAGGCAGCATGCTTAAGAGTCATCACCACTCCCTAATCTCAAATACCCAGGGACACAAACACTGCCGAGGGCCGCAGGGACTTCTGCCTAGGAAAACCAGAGACCTTTGTTCACGTGTTTATCTGCTGACCTTCTCTCCACTACTATCCTATGACCCTGCCACATCCCCCTCTCTGAGAAACACCCAAGAATGATCAATAAATACTAAAAAAAAAAAAAAAAAAAAAAAAAAAAAAAGAGCAAGAGCCGGGATTCAAACCCTGCTCCTTGGTACTGCTAACCTCACCGTCGTTTCTCTACATTGGGTGCCTCTTGAGCGATTGTGCTAACACTACATGGAGAGGACTCTATAAAGATGACTACTTTCTTCCTTGTGGGAGTTTTTATTTTATTTTAATTTTTTGAGACAAGGTCTCGCTCCGTTGCCCAGGCTGGGTTGTAGTGGCACGATCTTGGCTCACTGCAGCCTCAACCGCCCTGGACTCCCATCTTGACCTCCAGAGTAGCTGGAACTACAGGCGCATGCCACCACTCCCAGCATTCTCCTGCCTCAGCCTCCCGAGTAGCTGGGACTACAGGCGCCCGCCACCACAGCGGGCTAATTTAGAGACGGGGTTTCACCGTGTTAGCCAGGATGGTCTCGATCTCCTGACCTCGTGATCCGCCCACCTCGGCTTCCCAAAGTGCTGGGATTACAGGCATGAGCCACCGCGCCCGGCCTGAAGTTTCTTAGCCACAGTGCTTTTAAACATTTTATAAAAAAGCAAAACAAATATTCCTTACTGCTGCGTCTATCTTCTGAAGATGACAGCAGCTGGCAGAGCTTGTCCACCTCAGCCTAGCTAGCATTTAAATATGGCTATAGGAGAGCGTCCCTTATTAGCGGGCTCCTCCCCCAGGGCTCTGTACTCTAGGCTGCTCCACACTCCTTTGCCCACCTTAGGCTAGTAAGGTCGGGGTGTACATGGACTGTTTCTTAGCCCTTTCCCTAGGGGGCCAGGGGAGACAAGGAATTGCTTGTCAACTGAGACATGTGAGGGGTGGCAGGGAAGGGCAGAAGTAGGAAAAGCAGCAGCACAGCAAGCAGCAGGCCACTTCCTGGGCACAGTTACTAAGGCAGGTGACCATGGTGAGGAGGATCCTCAGGACTGGGCTGGAGCTGCCTGCAGCCACCTGGGGACTCAGTCTGCGCCTTTTGGCCTCCCCTCCGTCACCACAAACCCAGAAAGGGGCAACCTGCCCAGACTGCCAGTGGCCAAATGGGCACTCCATGGCATCTTAGCATCTCTCCTGCTCCAGGCCTCTGTGGGCAGCAAGAAAGCTAGAGCTACCTGGGATAAAACCGAGGAGGCAGCATGCAACTTCCTCTTATATTCCAGGGTATTAGATATGAGTTCTAAATTTCTTTTCAAATAATTGTCATTATGTTCAATTCTTTACCTTCTACTTTTAAACTTAACTTCCTCGTAAAGCAATCTTTTTTGATTACCTACTCCACCCTGACTCATTCTGATCTCCTGCTCCACCCTAACTCATTTTGATCACCTGCCACCTGCTCTGCCCTGACTCCCGCCAAAGCACTCATCCCGTCATTCTCTTTAAATTAGCCAGTCAGAATTAGTTTAGCCTGTGCTGTCTAACCCTAGCCAATAGGGGAACGAAACAGCAGCAGGGGCCACGTGCATTAGGGATAAGAACCCCTTCCCCTCCCTTGTCCAAGTGTGCGCTCACCATTGTTCCATCTGTAAGGGTGCACCCTTCTATATAGAAGTACCTAGCCTTGCTGAGAATTAAAAGGAAAATTTTATATTTGAGTGATATTCCTTTTGCGGCACCGAAACTTTATATATAACAATTTGGGGGCTTGTCTGGGATTACATTCCCCTCTGGGGGTGGTCTCTGGTTCTCTCTCTTGAGGAGGTGAACCCCGCCCTATTGTGGCGGCCTCAGGGGTGAAAAATCAAGACCTACCCAGTGCAAGGAATAACCCAAGCTCTCAGCAATGCAGGAAAAAAAAAAAAGGCCATCAACCTTTTGGGGTGATCAGACCCAACACCAGGCCGTGGGGGCTACGAAGTCCAGCAGAGTCAAAGGAATGAGAAAACACAAGTTCAGAGAGAAAGTGGGACCAGAGGGCCAACACTAGTATGGAGGTTGCAAAGGCCCGGAGCTCTGGAAGCCCACACTATTTATTGGTGATCAAACAAACAGGGGGTGAGGATGTGGGGGTTGAAAGGAAGCGATGTATCAAGCTAATGAACTACAGATGTGATGGTTTAGCATTTTCTTTGAAATGTATGGCTACTTGAGATAATGGGAGTGCTAGAAGCAAGAAGCCAGCAAGTCTGGACACATTCCAAAGGCCACCAGGGGTGTTACCCTGAATGTAAAACTATTGAAGAAACAATTTATGTGCAAGATGTATAAGGAAAGTAAAATATACTTTTAGTAAAAGGATTATAAGGAGGCATAAGAATGTGGATTTTTACCTACATTAAAAGGTTAAAAAAAAATTTTGTGGCCAGGCATGGTGGCTCACACCTGTAATCCTACCTAGCACTTTGGGAGGCCGAGGTGGGTGGATCACCTGAGATCAGGAGTTTGAGACCAGCCTGGCCAACCTGGTGAAACCCCGTCTCAACTAAAAATACGAAAATTAGCTGGGCATTGTGGTGGGCACCTGTAATCCCAGCTACTCACTCAGGAGGCTGAGGCAGGAGAATCACTTGAACGTGGGAGGCGGAGGTTGCAGTGAGCCAAGATCGCACCATTGCACTCCAGCCTGGGTGACAGAGTGGGACTCCATCTCAAAAAAGAAAAAAAAATTTGTTTTGAAGGTTTAAGCAAGTTTTAAAATGTTAATTGTAATGGAAATTATGTGTGTAAACATATTGGCTAAGGTTAAAAGGGTATCACCCAGTTTTTCTGTGAACTGAGCATTAAAATAAAAACACAACGGGTTTTTCTTAAAGCACTAACCCGCTCTTTAACAAAAATTATAAAAAGTTAAAAACAGGCCAGGCTCAGTGGCTCATGCCTGTAATCCCAGCACTTTGGGAGGCCGAGGCAGGCAGATCACCTGAGGTCGGGAGTTCGAGACCAGCCTGACCAACATGGAGAAACCCCCATCTCTGCTAAAAATCCAAAATTAGCTGGGTGTGGTGGTGCATGCCTGTAATCCCAGCTACTTGGGAGGCTGAGACAGGAGAATTCCTTGAACCCGGGAGGCAGAGATTGCAGTGAGCCAAGATTGCACCATTGCACTCCAGCCTGGGCAACAAGAGTGAAACTCCTTCTCAAAAAGAAAAAAAAAAAACAGTCTATAAAAATCTTACCTTATGGGCCGGGCACGGTGGCTCACGCCTATAATCCCAGCACTATGGGAGGCCGAGGTGGGTGGATCATGAGGTCAGGAGATAGAGACCACCCTGGCTAACAAGTAAAACCCTGTCTCTACTAAAAATACAAAAAATTAGCCAGGCGTGGTGATGGGCGCCTGTAGTCCCAGCTACTTGGGAGGCTGAGGCAGGAGAATGGCGTGAACCCGAGAGGTGGAGCTTGCAGTGAGCCGAGATCGTGCCACTGCATTTCAGCCTGGGCGACAGAGCAAGACTCCATCTCAAAAAAAAAACAAAAAAACAAAAAACAAAAACTTACCTTATGATCAGACATTAAAAATTGGATAAATATGTCTACAAAGTGTTATTAAAACTAAGTTTAACATTAATAGGCCGGGCGCGGTGGCTCACGCTTGTAATCCCAGCACTTTGGGAGGCCAAGGCGGGCAGATTGCCTGAGCTCAGGAGTTCGCGACCAGCCTGGGCAACAAGGTGAAACCCCGTCTCTACTAAAATACAAAAAAATTAGCCGGGCGTGGCAGCGTGTGCCTGTAGTCCCAGCTACTTGGGAGGCTGAGGCAGGAGAACTGCTTGAACCCGGGAGGCAGAGGTTGCAGTGAGCCAAGATCGCGCCACTGCACTCCAGCCTGGGCAACAGAGTGAGACTCCGTTTCAAAAAAAAAAATTAATAACACACTAATATAAAGGTGAAATTTAGCTTATCTGGTATAAAAATCATACAGGAAGCACTGTCAAATATAAAATGGTGTTTGGCGTTCTTTGGTCTAAAAAAACTAATAAAAATAAGTGCTAAAGGAAATTTCTCAGTAAGAAGGCACCAAGGACTATAAAGTCCACTGCTGATGTCCCCACATTTAAAACAAAAGGTCGATTTCTTAGAAATTATATGCTTGGTTTATCTTCCACTTTCCTCTCCCTCAAAACTAAAAATATTTTAGCACAGGTACCACCCCTAAAATTTCTGGTAAACCAGCACCAGCCTGAAGATCATGTTGTCATCAGAGGGTGGAAAGAAGGAAAACTCGAGCCAGCCTGGGAAGGACCCTACCTTGTGCTGCCAACCACCGAGACTGCAGTTTGTACAGCGAAAAAGGGATGGATTCATCACACCCGAGTCAAGAAAGCACCACCCCCTCCAGAGTTGTGGGCCATAGTCCCAGGGGGAAACCCTACCAAATTAAAGCTAAGAAAAATTTAACTCTTTCATCTATTCTATTACTCTTTCTCCTTTCCTCGCTCTATTGCTGACCATCTAGTTATTAACATAACCAAGTCAATTTTGCCTCAAACTATTGCATTTAGTGCTTGCCTTGTTATATCCCGTAGGAACTTGCCAAGTCAAAGACAGCTCTCTACTTCTGAAAAGTACCTCTGTCCCTCCTGACTCTCCTCACACTGGGCATTAGTAAATTAGGACCACTGAATCTGGGGGGATTTCGATAAAGATCCCAATGTCAACCAGGATTCTTGACCCCCAATGTAGAGCTTTTATGCCGTAGTCGGTCCAACGTTCTGTGGATCACTAAAGAGCAAGTATGGACTGCCCCAATCAGTTTTTGTAATTTCCTAAAACCATATATTCATTTTACTAGAGGATCATAGAAGTTAAAGACTTAAAAAACATTTTGGCAATTAACACAGGATACCAAGATGCAAATGCCTGGTTGGAATGGATCAAATATTCCGTCCACATTAAACAAAAGCAATTGTTATGCTTGTGCACATGGCAGGCCAGAGGCCCAGATTGTCCCCTTTCCACTAAGGTGGTCCTCCAGTCGACCAGGTGTGGGCTGCATGGTAGCTCTTTTCCAGGATTCTACAGCCTGGAGTAATAACTCACGCCAAGCTCTCTCTCTGCTATATCCTGAAGTCCGGCACCCTGCGCGTCAGCCCCCGAGGGCCATCCAGCTTCTGTCTCCCAACACTAAGTTCACTTCGTGTCTCTCCCAACAGGGAGGAAACTTAGCATTCCTTGGAGACCTGAAGGATGCAGTGAGCTTAAGAATTTTCAAGAGCTTATCAATCAGTCAGCCCTTGTTCATCCCCGAGTGGATGTGTGGTGGTATTGTGGTGGATCTTTACTGGACACTGCCAAATAACTGGAATGGCACTTGTGCTTTATTCCAATTGGCTATCCCTTTCACCCTGTTATTTCATCAACGAGAGGAAGGAAAAATAAGTATCATAAAGCAAGAGAAGCCCTTTATGGGTCTTTCGACTCTCACGTCTATTTAGACACAATTAAGAGTCCCATGGGGAATACCAGATCAATTTAAAGCCCAAAATCAAATTGCTGCAGGATTTAAGTCAACATTTTGGTGGGTAACAATTAATAAAAGTGTAGATTGGGTAAACTACGTCTATTACAACCAATAGCGATTTATTAACTACACTAGAGATGCTGTTAGAGGAATAGCTGAACAATTAGGGGCTACTAGCCAGAAGGCTTAGGAAAATAGTGTCACCGGCGTCTGTGTGAAGAGACCACCAAACAGGCTTTGTGTGAGCAATAAAGCTGTTTATTTCACCTGGGTGCAGGCGGGCTGAGTCCGAAAAGAGAGTCAGCAAAGGGTGGTGGGATTATCATTAGTTCTTATAGGTTTGGGATAGGCATACAAACTACATTCTTAAGGGCAGGGGAGAATATTACAAAGTACCTTCGTAAGGGTGGGGGAGAATATATTTATCAGTTAGGGTGGGACAGGAACAAATCACAATGGTGGAATGTCATCAGTTGAGGCTATTTTCACTTCTTTTGTGGATCTTTAATTGCTTCAGGCCATCTGGATGTATACCTGCAGGTCACAGGGGATATGATGGCTTAACTTGGGCTCAGAGGCCTGACATTCCTATCTCCTTATATTAATAAACAAAATAGTGGTGAAGTGTTGGGGCTGCGAAAATTTTTGGAGGTGGTATGGAGAGATAATGGGTGATGTTTCTCAGGGCTTCTTCGAGCGGGATTAGGGGCGGTGTGGGAGCCTAGAGTGGGAGATATTAAGCTGAAGGAAGATTTTGTGGTAAGGGGTGATATTGTGGGGTTGTTAGAAGGAGCATTTGTCGCCCGGTGTGGTGGCTGACGCCTATAATCCCAGCACTTTGGGAGGCTGAGGCGGGCGGATCACCTAAGGTCAGGAGTTCAAGACCAGCCTAGCTGACATGGTGAAACCCCATCTCTCCAAAAAAAAAAAAAAAAAAAAATTAGCCGGACATGATGGCGGGTGCCTGTAATCCTAGCTACTCAGGAGGCTGAGGTGGGAGAATTGCTTGAACCCCAGGAGGTGGAGGTTGCAATGAGCTGAGATCGCGCCACTGCACTCCAGCCTGGGTGACAGAGTGAGACTCTGTCTCAAAAAAAAAAAAAAAAAAGAAAAGACAGCTGGAAAAGAATGGTTATCATCTTTAGGAAAAAAAAAATGGCTGGGCACGGTGTCTCACGCCTGTAATCCCAGAAGGAGCATTTGTCGTATACAATGATTGGCGATGGCCTGGATACAGTTTTGGATGAATTGAGAGACTAAACGGAAGATACAAGGTCCGAATAAGGGAAGGAGAAAAACAGGTATTAAAGGACTAAGAATTGGGAGCACCCAGGACATCCAATTAGAGAGTGCCCAAGGGGGTTCAGAGTAATTACTTGCTTGGTTGGCGAGTTTTTGGCCTCTATCCTTGAGTTCTTTTATGTTGTCATACACCAGGCCAGATTGATTTAGGTAAAAACAACACTCTTCATTAAAAAATATACAGAGTCCTCCTTTTTCAGCAGTGAGTAAGTCAAGGCCTCGGTGGTTTTGGAGGACAACTGCAGCTAAAGAGTCAACTTGGGCCTGAAGGACTGATAAAGTTTGTGATATGTGTGTGATGCTAGCAGAGAAGTCATTAGAGAGGCTATGGAAGGTCGTGACAGAGGTTGAAATGCCTACTATTCCAGTACCGAGAGCAATAGTGGAGGCAGAAAGTCCTAAACCGACAAGCAAGGGAATTAGCGGAATAACTCTTTTTTGTTGTGTCGGTGTCATGAGGGGAACAGGAAGATGTTCAGTCCCATTTGCAAATTGATTTTGGGAGTAAGGAAAACTAGTGTGCATGTGCCTGTCCAATTAGCAGGTAGACACATGTAGGTAGAGGATCCACAGAGGAAGAAGAGACCTTGTGCGGAGCAAAACCGGAAATGCAAAGTAAAAAGATGAGAAGGAGTGCTGAAAGAGGTGTCTTGTACCCAGACTCCTAGGGATCCAGCTAGGGCGGCAGCCGTCAGAGGTTGTAATGGGGACTGATGGGGTAACTACGTAGAGGGGGAGGTTTGATTTTCATGGTGTATGAGAAAACTTTGAGTGTCTACGAGCAACCTTTCACTGTTATTTACGGGGCTGAGTATAAGCAAACAAGAAGAGGGCCTGGGAGGAGAGTCTGACAAGCAAGGGGAAGGTAGCCAAGGATGGAGTGAAATACAGGGTAAGTGTCTTCCTAAGCAATAATAACTGCTAATGTGTTTAAGTTTGCCAGTATTGATAGAGGGCTTATCTGTAATACAGAGCTGGGAGGCTCCAATTGTTTCAGTGATGTGTGTAGTTGGGCTTCGGAGATGAAGAGTAAAGGAACATCGAGAAGGTGAAAGATTACCTAGGGGAATTCCAGTGGGTCTTTGCCGAGAGATACATAAAGGAACGGCCACAGGAATAGTAGTTTGTGTTGTGAGGGGTCCAAATATGGGGGGAGTAGAGTTGATATAAGGAGAAAGGTTTTTTAAGTAAGTGTGGAGGAGGGCGGCAGCTTGCTGAAGTGAAATGTCTGGGGAAGTCTTGCTGGACCTGTCTAGAAAGTAAAGAAGTTCTTTAGGAAGGTAAAGGTGAGGGCTGTTAAAGGAAGTTTGGAGGTGTAGGGAGATAGGAGAGGTTGCCCAGTCTGTATGTAAGGCGGGGACAGCTGTGTAGGCGCAGGAAGAAAGGGAAATGCAAATTCAGCAATGGTTCGATGAGGGATTAGAAACGGCTAGGAGAGAGTGAATGAGATTGATAGTGTGGTGGAGCTAGCTGGGGAGAGGTAGAGGGTGGCATAAAAATGGGAACAAGAATAGGAGTGAGTATAAAAGTAAAGAATAGGACTTCATCAGGGTGAAAGTATTGGAGTGTGCCCTGCCAGCAAATATTATTTATTTACTTTAAGAGGGAGTTAAGAGTGGCGGTCTGGGGATAGCACCAGGAGATACCAGCTGTGACGGCTTGGAGAAACAGTGTAAACCGGCAGTGTAAACAAGAGCAGGGCATTTATGAGTAGTTGAGAATGGTGAATAGGAGTATGACTAGACAGAAGATAGAAGGGATGACAAGTTTTTGGGGTGCAGTCCGAGTTGGGCTGGTGTCTGGAATAAGACTGGGGCCTAATAAAAAGGAGCATCCATACAGGAGCTCAAATGGGCTGTATCCTGCAGCATTCCGAGGACAGGCCCGAATTCTGAGAAGGGCAAGTGGTAAAAGTACTGTCCAGTCTTTTTAAGTTGGAGGCTGAGCTTGGTGAGGTGTGTCTTTAAAAGACTATTAGTCTGTTTTACTTTTTCTGAAGATTGAGGATGGTAAGGGGTATGAAGGTTCCACTGAATACCAAGAGCCTGAGAAACTGCTTGGGTGATTTGACTAATAAAGGCCAGTCTGTTATTGGACTGTATAGAGGTGGGAAGGCCAAAGCGAGGAATTATGTCTGACAGAAGGGAAGAAATGACCGCAGTGGCCTTCTCAGACCCTGTTGGAAAGGCCTCTACCCATCCAGTGAAAGTGTCTACCCAGACCAAGAGGTATTTTAGTTTCCTGACTTGGGGCATGTGAGTAAAGTCAATTTGCCAGTCCTGGGCAGGGGCAAATCCCTGAGCTTGATGTGTAGGGAGGGGAGGGAGCCTGAACACTCCCTGAGGAGTAGTAGAATAGCAGATGGAACACTAAGAAGTGATTTCCTTGAGGATAGATTTCCACGATGGAAAGGAAATGAGAGGTTCTAAGAGGTGGGCTAGCAGCTTGTAACTTACATGGAAGAGGTTATGAAATGACAGCAGAATAGAATGGGCCTGTGAGGCTGTTAGGAGATATTTTCCTTGGTCCAAGAACCATTTGCCTTGTGTGGGAAGAGACTGATAGGTAGAAGTTTCAGCAGGAGAGTAGGTGGGAGTGACCCATGAGAATGAGAAAAATTGGCCGTGAGGGACAGAATTTGGAATGCTAGCTGCTTCTTTAGCTACCTTATCAGCAAAAGCATTGCCCTGAGCGATGGGATCTGACGCCTTTTGATGGCCCTTGGAGTAAATGACTCCAGCTTCCTTTGGAAGTAAAGCGGCCTTGAGAAGAGTTTTTATTAAAGAGGCATTAATGACAGAGGACCCTTGCGTAGTGAGGAAACCTCTTTTTGCCCATATAACAATATGGTGGTGCAGGATATGGAAGGCATATTTAGAGTTGTATAAATATTGACATGTAGTCCCTTTGCAAAAGTGAGGGCTCGAGTTAAGGCAATGAGTTCAGCTTGCCGAGAGGTAGTGGAGAGGGGCAGAGCAGTAGCCTCAATGATAGATGTGGAAGATACTATAGCATAGCCTGCCTTTGCTGGTGTGTGGCAATTAGGCCTGGTAGAACTACCATCAATAAACCAAGTGTGATCAGGGTGAGGAACAGGAAAGAAGGAAATACGGGGAAATGGGGTGAATGTCAGGTGGATCAGAGAGATACAGTCATGGGGGTCAGGTGTGGTATCAGGAATAATGTGGGAGGCTGGATTGAAGTCCTGGCCAGGAACAATGGTAACTGTGGGAGACTCAACAAAGAATGAGTACAGCTGAAGGAGCCGGGGAGCAGAAAGTATACGTGTTAGATGTGAGGAAGAAAATAGATTTATGAGAACTGTAGAGAGTGAGTTGAGCATAGTTTGTGATTTTGAGGGCCTGTAAAAGTATTAGGGCAGTGGCAGGCACTGCACGGAGACATGATGGCCAGCCTAAAACAGTAAGTCAAGTTGTTTGGACAAAAAGGCTACAGGGTGCGGTCCTGGTCCTTGTGTAAGAATTCTGACTGTACAGCCCTGCACTTCGGCTGTGTGTAATGAAAAGGGTCGGGATGAGTCATGGAGAGCTAGTGTGGGAGCTGTGTTTTAAGGAATGGAAAGGGGAGAGGAGAAAGGATTTAGGATCTATGGGGTCAGCTAGGTTTATCTAGAACAGAATAATGGGTTGTGGAGGGAGGTATTGAGGATAGGAGAGTATATGGGTTTGGCACCACAGGGTGGATAGGCAAAACAATTTGGTCGATATGGCGCAGATCCTGAACTAACCTGTAAGGCTTATCTGGTTTTTGGACAGGTAAAATGGGGGAATTGTAAGGAGAGTTTATAGGCTTTAAAAGGCCATGCTGTAACAGGTGAGTGATAACAGGATTTAATCCTTTTAAAGCATGCTGTGGGATGGGATACTGGCATTGAGCGGGGTAAGGGTGATTAGGTTTTAATGGGATAGTAATGGGCGTGGATAGTTCACCAGGGAGGGAGTAGAGGTGTCCCATACCTGTGGATTAAGGTGAGGAGATAAAAGAGAAGGACGTGAAGGAGGCTTTGAACTGGGGAAAAGGGCAGCAACGAAATGTGGCTGTAGCCTAGGATTAGTCAGGGAAGCAGATAATTTAGTTAAAATGTCTCGACCTAATAAGGGAGCTGGGCAGGTGGGGATAACTAAAAAGGAGTGCATAAAAGAATATTGTCCAAGTTGGCACCAGAGTTGGGGAGTTTTAAGAGGTTTAGAAGCCTGGCCATGAATACCCACAACAGTTATGGAGGCAAAGGAAATAGGCCTTTGAAAAGAAGGTAATGTGGAGTTGGTAGCCTCCATATTGATTAAGAAGGGTGACTTACCCTCCACTGTAAGAGTTACCCAAAGTGTCCGTGATGGCCCGGGAGGCTTCGAAGGTGATCGGACAGCATCAGTCTTCAGCCGCTAAGCTGAGAAGATCTGGGAAGGAGTCAGTCAGAGAGTCTTGGGCCAGAGATCCCAGAGCTCTGGGAGTGACTGCGAGGCGAGTGGGACAGTCTGATTTTCAGTGGGGTCCTGCACAGATGGGACACGGCTTAGGAGGAATCCCGGGCTGTGGGCATTTCTTGGCCCAGTGGCCAGATTTCTGGCACTTGAAGCAAGATCCTGATGAAGAAGGTCCTGTAGGAATGCTTGACCACTGCGGTTTAGGCATGTGCGGCTTAGGCATTTTGAAGTTCTCGTGTGCTGGAGGTGCAGCTGGGTTTTGTCTCACAGCAGAGGCAAGTAATTGTAACTTTTCTCTATTATTGTACACCTTGAAGGCAAGGTTAATTAAGTCCTGTTGTGGGGTGACGTGCACCTGTAATCCCAGCTATTCAGGAGGCTGAGGCAGGAGAATAGCTTGAACCAGGGAGGTGGAGGTTGCAGTGAGCCGGGATCACGCTACTGCACTCCAGCCTGGGCGACAGAGTGAGACTCCATCTCAAAAAAAAAAAAAATTATTCTTTGTTCATTTCCTGACCCATGATAACCGAACCCCTGGTATTTTTCGCGTGGGTCCTGTCCACCTGATGGTAGTCAGGACTGTCCCTTACCGGGATTTTCTGAAAATTGATGAGCTCTCCTCCTTTCACGCATAACTTCAAGGCGATCACGTCGGGTGCACCACTTGCAGAGTTTATAGCTTGCAGTGAACGCCAAGAATGAGTTCTTAGACAATTCCAGCTGAGTGGGGCCGGGGGAATGGGGGGGGCATTTCTTCTAAGAGAACCCGCCCCAGCATCCGTCTGCCAAGTATTTATTGAAAGTGCTTGTTAAACCACAAACATCCACTAGATGGCTTTTTGAGGTCGGGTCGTGAGACACCTGCGGCCTCGTAAAAGCACTCAAACCGCATTCTCAGGAGGCTGTTTTCAGCGTTCCTTATCACACCACACACTCCACTCCCTGTCCTGTTTTCAGGGTCAAGGAATTTCATTCTCACGCACAAATAACATACACACAGTGCCTCAGTATTCTTCCATGCCCCGACCTCAGATGCCATGTACATAAGCTTGAATATGTTGCTGTGCACCCCCCACACTCAAGTGTCCCCACCCCTTTAAATATGTTGTGTGGGGCTAGTTCTTCCATTGCCCATGAAAGATAACTCAGGCAGGCCACAGAGCATACCTGCTCAATCCTTGGAACAAAAAAAAAAAATCCTCCAAGCATCATTCTGAATTACGTTTTTTCTCTCGGCCAGCTCCGACTGAGTGGTTTGACATGGGAAGCTGCCAGTGTGAAACTGGCAGAGTGGCTGGCTTCCTCAAGAATTTCTTTCTTGCCTTCCTGTGTCTGACTCTCCACCCTCTCCCTCACAGCCAGAAGCAGAGGAGGTGAGGGGGACAAAATGCTTTACCTGACGGCCATACACTGGAAGTGGTTTTGGTTTCCTCTGGCTGTGGTGGATGTTCAAATTGACTTTTGCTCTTGTGCGATGTTTGTGTGTCTTTTATAAACTCCCAGTAGCTGAATATCTCTCACTTATACTCTGTAGCCCAAACTTTGAATTATATTATTTTATTTTTTAACTTTTACTTTAGGTTCAGGGGTACATGTGTAGGTTCCTTATATAGGTAAAGTGTGTGTCATGGGGCTTTGGTGTACAGGTAATTTAATCACCCAAGTAACAAGCATAGTACCTGATAGGTCCCACCTTGAATTTGTCTAGGTGTTAGATTGGCCGCAGTTCTCTACCACTTCCTGTTATCTGAGGCCTTTACAGTGTGCCTTGGTGGCTAGTCACTCTCACCAAAAGGTAGAGTTTAGGAGGGCATGGTGGCTCCCACCTGGAATCCCAGCTACTTGGGAGGCTGAGACAAAAGGATCACTTGAACCCAGGAGGTCGAGGCTGCAGTGAACCATCCATGTTCATGCCACTGCACTCTAGCCTGGGCAACAGAGAAAGATCCTGTCTCAAAACAAACAAAAAAACATGGCAAAACCCTGTCTCTACTAAAAATACAGAAATCAGCCGGTGGTGGCATGCACCTGTAATCACAGCTATTGGCTGAGGCATGAGAATGGCTTGAACCTAGGAGGTGGAGGTTGCATTGAGCCGAGATCATGCCACTGCACTCCAGGCTGAGCGATGGAGAGAGACTCTGTCTCAAAAAAAAAAAAAAAAAAAAAGTTTGATAACACACTCAGCTGATGGGGTGGGGAAAGGAAACTGGTACTGTCACACATTGCCGACAGGAAGGAAGGTACACTGGTGCGGCTTCTACAGAAAGCATTTTAAAAATATCTACCCAAATCAAGTATTTACGTATTCTTTGACCTAGCAATTCTACTTCAAAGAACATACATTTACACTAGACATTTTTTTTTTGAGATGGAGTCTTGCTCTAGAGTGCGGTGGCACAATCTCAGCTCACTACAACCTCCGCCTCTGCCTCCCAGGTTCAAGCAGTCTTCCTGCCTCAGTCAGCCTCCTGAGTAGCTGGGATTACAGGTGCGCACCACCACGCACAGCTAATTTTTGTATTTTTTGTAGACAGGGTTTTACCATGTTAGCCCGGCAAGTCTTAAACTCCTGACCTCAAGTGATCCACCTGCCTTGGCCTCCCAAAGTGCTGGGATTATAGGTGTGAACCACCACGCCTGGCCTACACTGGACATTTTTGAGAGTCAAGGGAGCACTATAACAAACAAGGGGTCGGGTGCGGTGGCTCACTCCTATAATCCCAGCACTTTGGGAGGCCAAGGTAGGTGGATCACTTGAGCCCAAGAATTTGAGACTACTCTGGGTAACATATTGAGAGAACTCATCTCCATTAAATTAAATTTAAAAAAAAAAAAAAAAAAAGAGGCTGGGCGTGGTGGCTCAAGCCTGTAATCTCAGCACTTTGGGAGGCCAAGTCAGAAGGATCATGAGGTCAGGAGTTCGAGACCAGCCTGGCCAATATGGTGAAACCCCATCTCTACTAAAAATACAAAAATTAGCCAGGCATGGTGGTGTGCGCCTGTAGTCCAAGTTACTTGGGAGGCTGAGGCAGAAGAAAAACTTAAACCTGTGAGGTGAAGGTTGCAGTGAGCCGAGATTGGGCCACTGCACTCCAGCCTGGGCAACAGAACAAGACTCCGACTCCGAAAAAAAAAAAGAAGGAAGCACCTCTCTGTTTGATTTCAAGGTATTAAGTGAGGAAAAGCAAGGAAAAGAGTAGTGATCATGTATTTATATGTATGTATACATTTATACATATACACTTATATATATTAATACATGCTTATATATATAGACTCTATCTCTGCAAGTGCAGCAGATGTAGGTTGGTGGGAGGCTGACACGTGTACAATTTTGGATACCTGTTTTAAGAGAAAGAATACCAAAAGTATCCCAGCACTTTGGGAGGCCGAGGTGGGCAGATCACCTGAAGTCAGGAGTTTGAGACCAGCTTGGCCAACATGGCCAAACCCCATCTTTACTAAAAAAAAATATAAAAATTAGCCAGGCACGGTGGTGAGTGCCTATAATCCCAGTTACTCAGGAGGCTGAGGCAGGAGAATCGCTTGAACCCAGGAGGCGGAGGTTGCAGTGAGCTGAGATCACGCCACTGCACTCCAGCCAGGGCAACAGAACGAGACTCCGTCTCAAAAAAAAAAAAAAACCAAAAGTATAAATACAAAATTAGGTACAGACCAGCCTGGCCAACATGGCAAAACACTGTCTCTACTAAAAAAATTCAAAAACTAGCCAGGCATGGTGGCAAATGCCAGTAAATCCCAGCTACTTGGGAGGCTGAGGCAGAGAATCATTTGAACCTGAGATGCAGAGATTGCAGTGAGCCAAGATCTCGTCACTGCACTGCAGGCTTCGTGACAGAGTCTCACTATGTTGCCCAAGCTGGAGTGCAGTGGTGTGATCATGGCTCACTGCAGCCTTGACCTCCAGGTCAGATGATCCTCCTGCCTCAGCCTCCTGAATAGCTGGAAACACAGGTGCACGCTACCGTGGTTTTTTTTTTTTCTTTTTTTTTCCTTTTTTTTTTAAACTGGGGTTTCACTCTTGTTGCCCAGGTTGGAGTGCAATGGTGTGATCTCAGCTCACCAGAACCTCTGCCTCCTGTCAAGTGATTCTCCTGTCTCAGCCTCCTGAGTAGCTGGGACTAGAGGCATGTGCCACTACATCAGGCTAATTTTGTATTTTTAGTAGAGACAGAGTTCACCATGTTGATCATGCTAGTCTCGAACTCCTGACCTAAGTTGATGTGCCCACCTCAGCCTCCCAAACTGCTGGGATTACAGGCATGAGCCACTGTGCCTGGCCATTTTTCTTTCTTTTTTGAGATTTCTTTTTTTTTTTTTTTTTTTGACAGAGTCTCTCCCTGTTGTCCAGGCTGGAGTGCAGTGGCACAATCTCGGCTCACTGCAAGCTCCGCCTCCCGGATTCACACCATTCTCTTGCCTCAGCCTCCCAAGTAGCTGGGACTAGAGGTGCCCGCCACCATGCCTGGCTAATTTTTTGTATTTTTAGTGGAAATGGGGTTTCACCATGTTAGCCGGGATGGTCTAGATCTCCTGACCTCGTGATCCACCCATCTCGGCCTCCCAAAGTGCTGGGATTACAGGCGTGAGCCACTGCGCCCGGCCATGGATTTCTTTTTTTTGAGAGGAAGTCTTGCTTTGTCACCCAGGCTGGAGTGCAAGTGGCCCAATCTTGGCTCACTGCAAAATCTCCGAAGTTCAAGCAATTCTCCTGCCTTAGCCTCACGAGTAACTGGGATTACAGGCATGCACCACCACACCCAGCTAATTTTTTTGTATTTTTAGTAGGGACGGGGTTTCATCATGTTGGTCAGGCTGGTCTCGAATTCCTAACCTCAAGTGATCTGCCCACCTTGGGATCCCAAAGTGCTGGGAATACAGGCATGAACCACCGCGACCGGCCCTGGCTAATGTTTTTTTTTTTCCTCTTGAGACAGAGTCTTTCTGTCACACAGGCTGGAATGCAATGGTGCGATCTTGGCTCACTGCAACTTCCACCTGCTGGGTTCAAATAATTCCCCTGTCTCAGCCTCCCAAGTAGCTGGGATTACAGGTGCGAGCCACCATGCCCCGCTAATTTTTTTTTGTATTTTTAGTAGAGATGGGGTTTCACCATTTTGGTCATGCTGGTCTCGAACTCCTGACCTCACATGATCTGCCTGCCCTGGCCTCCCAAAGTGCTGGGATTACAGGCATGAGCCACTGCGCCCTGCCTGTTAATTTTTAAATTATTTGTAGAGACAAGTCTCCCTATGTTACCCAGGTTGGTCTCAAATGTCTGGGCTCAAGCAATCCTCCTACCTCAGCCTCTTAAGTGTTGAGATTACAGGCATGAGCTACCGCACCTGGCCAAAATCTAGATCTTATAATTGGGTTCAAGTTTTTTTTTCTTTTTTCTTCTTTTTTTTTTTTGAGATGGAGTCTCACTCTGTCACCCAGGCTAGAGTGCAGTGGTGCGATCTCGGCTCACTGCAACCACCGCCTCCCAGGCTCAAGCGATTCTCCTGCCTCAGCCTCCTGCATAGCTGGGATTACAGGCACCCATGACCACACCCGACTAATTTTCGTGTTTTTAGTAGAGACAGGGTTTCACCATGTTGGCCAGGCTGGTCTTGAACTCCTGACCTCAAGTGATCTGGCTGCCTCAGCCTCCCAAAGTGCTGGGATTACAGGTGTGAGCCACTGCACCTGGCTCAAGTTTTCATTTCTCATATCCTGTTGATCTTACAACTCTTCTTCTTCTTCTGATACTCATTTTCTCTCATCAGTGTGGAAATTTATTATAGTTTATATGAAGTTTTCCTCTTCTGTCTCTTTCCTCCATGTTTGTTTTTACTTTTTTTTTTTCACATTTGTTGATTTTTATTTGCTATCACTTTTTCTTTTTCTTCTTTTCTTTTTTTTTTTTTTTGAGACGGAGTCTCACTCTGTCGCCCAGGCCGGAGTGCAGTGGCTCAATCTCGGCTCACTGCAAGCTCTGCCTCCTGGCTTCATGCCATTCTCCTGCCTCAGCCTCCCGAGTAGCTGGGACAACAGGAGCCCACCACCATGCCTGACTAATGTTTTTGTATTTTTAGTAGAGACGGGGTTTCACCGTGTTAGCCAGGATGGTCTCGATCTCCTGACCTCGTGATCCACCCGCCTCAGCCTCCCAAAGTGCTGGGATTACAGGCGTGAGCCACCGTGCCTGGCCTTCTTTTCTTTTCTTTCTTTCTTTTTTTTTTTTTTGACTGAATTTTGCTCTTGTTGCCCAGGCTGGGGTGCAACGGTGTGATCTTGGTTCACTGCAACTTCTGCCTCCTGGGTTCAAGCGATTCTCCTGCCTCAGCCTCCTGAGTAGCTGGGATTACAGGTGCCCGCCACCACGCCCAACTAACTTTTTGTATTTTTAGTAGAGACGGGGTTTCACCATGTTGGTCAGCGTGGTCTTGAACGCCTGACCTCAGGTTATCCACCCGCCTCGGCCTCCCAAGTTGCTGGGATTACAGGCGTGAGCCACTGCGCCCGGCCATGATCTCTTTTTCAATACAATTTACACCCTCATCCCCATTTTCAGTCTGATTATACAAGTGCTGTGTGACAGAAAGGTCTGGAATAAATACATAAAAAAAAAAAAGAGGCAAAGCTGTGAAACTAAGTTGCATGCAACAGGTTCTATGAGGATGGGGGAAGTGTCTGAGAAATAAAACAGAGTAAGACAATGTAGTTGGAAGGTTTTAGCTAAAGTTCTTTTCAGTCGTCTTTGTCTTTTGCTCCATGTTTCAGGATGCATGTGAACTCGATGTAATTGAAATTCCCCTTTTTGTTAATAGGCGCTTCTCTGTACAGCTCATCCACTTCCTCATCCGTAAACCGATCCCACATGGTTATCAGCAGCTCTCTCAGGTAATCTTCCTGAATAATGCCTGTTGCTTCTTCATCAAAGCAAGCAAAAGCATTTCCAATGACATCTTCAGGATCTGTGCCATTTAACTTCTCACCAAATATGGTGAGGAACATGGTGAAATCGATGGGCCCTGGTGCCTCATTCATTATGGCATCAAGGTATGCATCGGTGGGATTCTTCCCTAGGGAAACAAGCATATCATGCAAATCTTCTTTGTTGATGAAACCATCTCTGTTCTGATCAATCATGTTGAAGGCCTCTTTGAACTCCTGAATCTGTGACTGGTCAAACATGGCAAACACGTTGGATGTTGTGCGCTGAGGGAGCTTTTTGGTGGTCTTGGTCTTGCCTTTTTGCTCCACATGGTGGTTGTTTAATTCCAGCGCCAAACACCAGAAGTGGGCTGCCCTGCGCCAGACGATGAGGGAAGGCGAAGAGCACAATGCTGTGTCGTTTTTACTTTTAATTTTGGGTTTTTGCTCATGTCTGAAGTCTTCCTCAAATATCTGGTGTTCCTTAACTGGGCACTCATATTTAAGACAGAGCGGGCTGGGTGCAGTGGCTCACACCTATAATCTCAGCACTTTGGGAGGCCGAGGTGGGTGGATCACCTGAGGTCAGGAGTTCGAGACCAGCCTGACCAATATGGAGAAACCCAATCTCTACTAAAAATAAAAAATTATCCAGGCGTGGTGGTGCATGCCTGTATTCCCAGCTACTCAGGAGGCTGAGGCAGGAGAATCGCTTGAACCCGGGAGGCGGAGGTTGCAGTGAGCCAAGATCGTGCCATTGCACTCCAGCCTGGGCAACAAGAGCAAAACTCCATCTCAAAAACAAACAAACTATATGTGTGTATATATATATATATTTACATATATAACATATATATTTTACATATATTACATATATATATTTTACATATATATATTTATTTATTTCCTTATTTATTTTGTGGCCAGGTGTGGTGGCTCATGCCTGTAATCCCAGCATTTTGGGAGGCTGAGGCGAGCAGATTACCTGAGGTCAGGAGTTCCAGACCAGCCTAGCCAACATGGTGAAACCCCATCTCTACTAAAAATACAAAAATATTAGCCAGGTGTGTGGTGGTGCACACCTGTAATCCCATCTACTTGGGAGGCTGAGGCACAAGAATTGCTTGAACCCGGGAGTAGCTGGGATTACAGGCATGTGCCACCATGCCTGGCTAATTTTTGTATTTTTGGTAGAGACAAGGTTTCACTATGTTGGCCAGATTGGTCTGAACTCCTGACCTCAGGTGATCCACTCACCTCAGCCTCCCAAAGTGCTAGGATTACAGGCGTGAGCCACTGCACCCAGCCAGACAGTTTTTTGTTTTTTTTTGTTGTTTTTGTTTTGTTTGTTTTTTTGAGATGGAGCCTGGCTCTGTTGCCCAGGCTGGAGTGCAGTGGCGCGATCTTGGCTCACTGCAAGCTCCGCCTCCCAGGTTCACGCCATTCTGCCTCAGCCTCCCGAGTAGCTGGGACTACAGGCGCCCGCCACTATGCCCGGCTAATTTTTTTGTATTTTTAGTAGAGACGGGGTTTCACCGTGTTAGTCAGGATTGTCTCGATCTCCTGACCTCGTGATCCGCCTGTCTCGGCCTCCCATAGTGCTGTGATTACAAGCGTGAGCCACCGCACCCAGCCTGTTTTTGTTTTTTTGAGATGGAGTTTGGCTCTGTCAGCCAGGCTGGAGTGCAGTGGTGTGATCTTAGCTCACTGCAACCTCCTCCTCCTGGGTTCAAGCTATTCTCCTGCCTCAGCCTCCTCATTAGCTGGGACTACAGGCGCGTGCCACCACGCCCAGCTAATTTTTGTATTTTTAGTAGAGATGGGGTTTCACCATGTTGGCCAGGCTGGTCTCGATCCCTTGACCTCGTGATCCGCCTGCCTCGGCCTCCCAAAGTGCTAGAATTACAGGCGTGAGCCACCGTGCCCAGTTGACAGTTTTATTTTACAATGTCAATATTTATATAAGACACAAGATCTGTTACACTCTTTTTTTTTTTCTGAGATGGAGTCTCGCTCTGTTGCCCAGGCTGGAATGCAGTGGTATGATATCGGCTCACTGCAACCACCGCCTCCCAGGTTCAAGCAATTCTTGTGCTTCAGCCTCCCGAGTAGCTGGGATTACAGGCATACGCCACCATGCCCAGCTAATTTTTGTATTTTTAGTACAGACAGGGTTTCACTATGTTAGCCAGGCTGGTCTTGAACTCCTGACCTCGTTATCCACCTGCCTCGGCCTCCCAAAGTACTGGGATTACAGGTGTGAGCCATTGCACCAAGCCGATTTGTTATACTCTTTGCAGTTATTTAAATCAACAAGGAAAAAAATTAGATGCCAAATAAAAATATATACAAAATGGCACATAATTTTCCAAAATGTTTTTAAGGAGCATGCAAGCAAGAAAATGTGAAGACTGATAGACTAATTCTAGTGCTGCTCTTATATCCAAGCAAGAGGAGATCCTGCCTGGAGCCCCACATTTCAGAAGGCCCCACATATCATAAATGTTAAAAGAATAAATTTGGAAGGAATATATGGGTGTATCTGTTACTGAAGATCTGGTGCTCAATTCTAGCACAGTGTATGAGTTATCTATTGCTGTGTAACAAATTACCCCAAAACCCGGTGGCTCAAAACAACACACTGTTATCTGATGGCTTCTGTGGGGGAGAAATCTGGGAACAGCTTAGCTGGATCCTCTGCTTCGGAGGCTCTCATAAGACTGCAGTCTATGAGTTGCCTGTGATCTCATCTGAAAGCTCAGGGCCGGGCTCAGTGGCTCATGCATGTAATCCCAGCACTTTGGAAGGCTGAGGCAGGTGCATCACCTGAGGTCAGGAGTTCCAGACCAGCCTGGCCCACCTGGTGAAACCCGGTTTCTACTAAAAATACAGAAATTAGCTGGGTGTTGTGGCGGGCACCTGTAATCCCAGCTACTTGGGAGGCTGAGGCAGGAGAATCGATTGAACCTGGGAGGTGGAGGTTGCAATGAGGCGAGATAGCACATTGCACTCTAGCCTGGGTGACGGAGCAAGACTCTGTCTCAAAAAAAATAAAAATAAAAATAAAAATAAAAATAAAGCTTAACTGGGGAAGGTTCTGCTTCTAAGCTCACTCACATAGCTGTTTGCAGGATTCAGTTTCTAAAGGGTTTTTTGACTGAGGGTCTCAGTTCCCTGTTGGTTAGTGTTTGGAGACCACACCTAGTTTCTTGCCATGTGGGTTTCTCCAATATGGCATCTTACATCATCAAAGCCAGCAATAGAGAGGCTAGCAAGTAGAAAGTCCTGTCTTTTTTTTTTTTTTTTCTTGTGATGGAGTTTTGCTCTGACTCCCAGGGTGGAGCATATTGGCACAATCTCGGCTCACTGTGACCTCTGCCTCCCGGTTTCACGCAATTCTCCTGCCTCAGCCTCCTGTGTAGCTAGCTGGGATTACAGGCATGTGCCACCATGCCTGGCTAATTTTTTGGAGTTTTAGTAGAGATGGGGTTTCACCACGCTGGCCAGGCTGGTCTCAAACTCCTGACCTTGTGATCTGCCTGCCTCGGCATCCCAAAGTGCTGGGATTACAGGCATGAGCCACTGTGCCCAGCCTACAAATAATGTTTAAATTCCCCGGATGTGCTGGCACACACCTGTAGCCGCAGCTACTCAGAATGCTGAGGTGGGAGGATTGCTTGAGCCGAGGAATTTGAGGCTGCAGTGAGCTATGATCCTGCTACTGCACTCTAGCCTGGGCGACAGAGCAAGAACCTGTTTAAAAAAAAAAAGAAAAGAAAAGAAAAAAAAGAAAGAAATGAAAGACCTCTTCAAAACTGTCAAATTCATGAGAGACAAGGAAAGACTGAGAACTTCCCAGATTGAAGGAGACTACAGATAGATATGTGACAGTCAAATGCAGTATGTGATCCTGGACTAGAAAGGACAGATAGGCCAAGTATGGTGGCACGCATCTGTAGTCCCAGCACTTTGGAAGGCTCAGGTGGGAGGATCACTTGAGCCCAGGAGTTTGAGGCTGCAGTGAGCTCTTGATAGCACCACTGCACTTTGGCCTGGGCAACAGAGTGAGACCTCATCTCAAAAAAAAAAAAAAAGAAAAAGAAAAAAACAGCTGTTAAAAGAAAAGATAATTGCACTTTGGGAGGCCTAGGCGGGTGGATTGCCTGAGCTCAGGAGTTCAAGACCAGCCTGAACAACATGGCGAAACCCCGTCTCTGCTAAAATACAAAAAATTAGCTGGCTGTGGCGGCGTGTGCCTATAGTCCCAGCTACTTGGGAGGCTGAGGCAGGAGAATTGTTTGAACCCGGAAGGTGGAGGTTGTAGTGCACCGAGATCGCACCACTGCACTCCAGCCTGGGTGACAGACCTGTCTCCAAAAAAAAAAAAAAAAAAAAAGATAATTTAAAAAAGAAGAGGCGGTCATTACTGGGACAGCTGGTGAAATCTGAATGGGATCTATGAATTGAAGAGTGATATTGATTTCCTGATTAGAATGGTGTTTTAGTTTGCTAGGGCTGCCATAACAAAGTATCACAAACTGGGAGACTTAAACAGCAGAAATGTATTGCCTTACAGTTCTGGAGGCTGGAAGTCTGAGATCAAGGTGTAGGCAGGGTTGGTTCTTTCTGAGGGGTGTAAGGGAGAATCTGTTCCAGGCCTTTCTACTAGTTTCCGGTGGTTTGCTGGCAGTCTTTTGTGTGTGTGTGTGTGTGTGTGTGTGTGTGTTTTGAGACGGAATCTTGCTCTGTCACCCAGGCTGGAGTGCAATGGCAAGATCTCGGCTCAGTGCAACCTCTGCCTCCCAGGTTCAAGCAATTTTCCTGCCTCAGCCTCCCGATTGAGTAGCTGGGATTACAGGCACCCACGACCACGCCCGGCTAACATTTTGTATTTTTTTTTTTTTTTTTTTTCTGAAACAGAGTCTCGCTCTGTCGCCCAGGCTGGAGTGCAGTGACACGATCTCAGCTCACTGCAACCTCCGCCTCCAGGTTCAAGCAATTCTCCTGCCTCCAGAATAGCTGGAATTACAGGTGCCCATGACCATGCCCTGCCAATTTTTGTATTTTTAGTAGAGGCAGGGTTTCACCATGTTGACCAGGCTGGTCTTGAACTCCTGACCTCGTGATCTGCCCGCCTCAGCCTCCCAAAGTGCTGGGATTACAGGCGTGAGCCATTGTGCTCGGCCAATTTTTTGTATTTTTAGTAGAGATGGGATTTCACTATGTTGGCCAGGCTGGTCTCGAACTCCTGACCTCAGGTGATCCACCTGTGTTGGCCTCCCAAAGTGCTGGGATTACAGGCATAAGCCATGGTGCCTGGCCTGCTGGCAATCTTTGACATATCAACCTGATCTCTGCCTTCATGGTCACATGTCATTCTCTCTATCCGCAAGCCTATGTCCAAACTTCCTTTCTTATAAAGGGGGTGAGAGGCCCACTCAACTCCAGTATGACCTCATTGAACCAATTACATATGCAACAACCTTATTTCCAAATAAGGTTACATTCTGAGGAACTGGGAGTTAGGACTTCATTATATAAATTTTATTTTTTTCCTTCGACTTTTATTTTAAGTTCAGGGGTACATGTGTGCGATGTGTAGGTTTGTTACATAGGTAAACGTGTGCAATGGTGATTTGCTGCACAGATCATCCCATCACCCAGGTATTAAGCCCAGCATCCATTAGCTATTCTTCCTGGTGCCCTTCCTTCCCCCACTCCCCCAGACAGGACCCAGTTGTGTTGTTTCCCACCGTGTGTCCGTGTATTCTCATCATCACTTGTAAGTGAGAACATGCGAACAAATGAATTCTTCACCTTTTTTTTTTTTTTTTTTTTTTTGAGAGGAGTCTCGTACTGTCAGTGGGGCTGGAGTGCAATGGTGAGATCACAGCTTACTGCAACCTCGGCCCCCTGGGTTCAAGTGATTCTCCTGCCTCAGCCTCCCATGTCACTAGCTGGAATTATAGGGGCCTGCCACCATGCCCAGCTAATTTTTGTATTTTTAGTAGATATGGGTTTTTGCCATGTTGGCCAGGCTAGTCTCAAACTCCTGACCTTGTGATCTGCCCACCTTGGCCTCTCAAAGTTCTGGGATTACAGGCATAAGCCACCGCGCCTGGCCTGATCTTGTTCTTTTTTCTTTTTTTTTTTGGCAACAACTCACTCTGTTGCCAGACTGGAGTGCAGTGGTGCGATCTCAGCTCTCCACAACCTCCGCCTCCCGGGTTCAAGCCATTCCCCTGCCTCAGCCTCCTGAGTAGCTAGGACTACAGGCGCCCACCACCACACCCGGCTAGTTTTTTGTATTTTTAGTAGAGATGGGCTTTCAGTGTGTTAACCAGGATGGTCTCGATCTCTTGAACTTGTGATCTGCCCGCCTCGGTCTCCCAAAGTGCTGGGATTACAGGCATGAGACACTGCGCCCAGCCCAGCCCTTATTCATTTTTATGGCTGCACAACATATGAATTTTTAGGAGACACAATTCAACCTGTAACACATGGTTATACTGGGGTTGAGAGCGAGATGGAACAAATACAGCCAAGTGTTGACAAATGGAAAATCTGAGTGAAAGAGGTACATGCCAAAGTTCTTGGAACTGTTCTTAAATTTTTCTGTAAGCTGAAAATTATTTCAAAATTAAAAAAATTCCAACAAGATGCTAGGTTTATTTATTACACAAGATGTTGGTGCTGAACCTACCATGTAAAGAGACAATAAAGGTGTTTGTGTGGCCTTATTGCACACTTGCCTGGGATGTAAGTGAGGGTATCAGATTAATATGTTACATTTACATAGTGCTTTATAATTTACAAAAAACCAACAACATCAAAAAACCTTTATTTCATTTATCTCTCAGAATAATTCTGGGAGGCAAGAGCTTTTTCTGATTTTATTACAAAACAAAACACTAAAGAAAGGTCATGTGACTTGTCCACAGCTTCACACAACTAAGTGATCAGTTTAAATTCTAGTCCAGGGTTTTTTCACTTTTTCGAGACTCCTTTGCAGCTGCAGCAAAAGACAATGCGGCATGACTTGAAACAACATTTTTTTTTTGAGACAGAGTCTCGCTCTGTCGCCCAGGCTGGAGTGCAGTGGAGCAATCTCGGCTCACTGCAAGCTCCGCCTCTGGGGTTCATGCCATTCTCCTGCCTCAGCCTCCCGAGTAGTTAGGACTACAGGCTCCCGCCACCACAGCCGGCTAATTTTTTGTATTTTTTTTTTTTTTTTGAGACGGAGTCTCACTGTATCGCCCAATCTGGAGTGCAGTGGCATGATCTTGGCTCACTGCAAACTCTGCCTCCCGGGTTCAAGTGATTCTCCTGCCTCAGCCTCCCAAGTGGCTGGGACTACAGGCACCCGCCATCACACCTGGCTAATTTTTTGTATTTTTAGTAGAGACGGGGTTTCACCGTGTTAGCCAGGATGGTCTCGATCTCCTGACCTCGTGATCTGTCCGCCTCGGCCTCCCAAAGTGCTGGGATTACAGGCGTGAGCCACCGCGCCTGGCCTAATTTTTTGTATTTTTAGTAGAGACGGGGTTTCACCGTGTTTGCCAGGATGGCCTCAATCTCCTGACCTTGTGATCCGCCCACCTCGGCCTCCCAAAGTGCTGGGATTACAGGCGTGAGCCACCGCGCCCAGCCCTCAAAACAACATTATAACATCATTTCTGCTCTTTTGGGGGGTGACCTGACTTCCCAAGTAAAGAAGGTATTCTTAGGCATGGTGGCTTATGCTTGTAATTCCAGAATGATGGGAGGCTGAGGTGGAAGGATTGTTTAATAAGCTCAGGAGTTAAAAACCAGCCTGGGTAACATAGAAAGACCCTGTCTCTACAAAATTCAAAAATGAGCCAGGCGTGGTGACACACACCTGTGGTCCCAACTACTCAGGAGGCTAAGATGGGAGGATTGCTTGAGCTGGGGAGATCAAGGCTGCAGTGGGCCACGTTTGAGCCACTACACTCCAGCCTGGGTGACAGAGCAAGATCCTGTAGCCCGGGTGCGGTGGCTTATGCCTGTAATCCCAGCACTTTGGGAGGCTGAGGTGGGTGGATCACGAGGTCAGGAGTTCGAGACCAGCCTGGCCTACACTGTGAAACCCCGTCTCTACTAAAGGTACAAAAAATTAGCCAGGCGTGGTGGCACGTACCTGTAATTCCAGCGACTTGGGAGGCTGAGGCAGGAGAATGGTTTGAACCCGGGAGGCGGAGGTTGCAGTGAGCCGAGATCGTGCCATTGCACCCCAGCCCGGGGGACAGGGCGAGACTCCATCTCAAAAAAAAAAAAGATCCGGTTAAAAAAAAAAAAAAAAGGAACAAGATCTTCCTATTGAGGTGAAAATGAAAATGAAATAGTTTAGGTAGGAGGCTCCAAAGGTTCCCAGTATAAGGTTCACTACTACACACACTGCTTCCTCCACCGTTCCCCCTCCCCTCCCTCAGCCTCACTTGGGCGAATCCCTTGTTTCCAGATGGGCTTCAATTTCATTACCCAACCTTCAGGCCAATGCCTGGGGAACAGGGTCAATAAAACATCTTCTTTTTTTATTTTTATTTTTTTGAGACGGAGTCTCACTCTGTCACCCAGGTTGGAGTGCAGTTGCAGTGGCATGATCTTAGCTCATGGCAACCTCCGCCTCCCAGTTTCAAGAGATTCTCCTGCATCAGCTTCCCGAGTAGCTGGGATTACAGGCATGCGCCACCACTCCCGGATAATTTTTGTATTTTAGGTAGAAACAGTGTTTCACCATGTTGGCCAGGCTGGTCTTGATCTCCTGACCTCAATTGATCCATCCGCCTCGGGCTCCCAAAGTGCTGGAATTACAGGCGTGAGCCACCACGCCTGGCCTAAGAAAAGGTCTTCAATCAGTCAAAAAAAAAAAAAAAAAAGAAAGAAAAGAAAAGGTCTTCAGTCCTTGCTCCTACAACCTCCTCAACCACATCCTCCACTGGTAGCCTCTGAGACCTGGACCATCGATGGCAAAACTTCACTCTTCTTTAAAATTACCCTGGCTGGGTGCAGTGGCTCACACCTGTAATCTCAGCACTTTGGGAGGCCAAGGTGGGTGGATCATTTGAGGTCAGGAGTTCCAGACCAGCTTGACCAACATGGTGAAACCCCGTCTCTACTAAAAATACAAAAAAATTAGCCGGACATGGTGGCACATGCCTGTAGTCCCAGCTACTTGGGAGGTTGAGGAAGGAGAATTTCTTGAACCCAGGAGACAGAGGTTGCAGTGAGCCGAAATCGTGCCACTGCACTCCAGCCTGGGAGACAGAGCGAGACTCCGTCTGTAAATAAATAAGTAAAGTAAAGTAAAATAACCCCAACCCAACAGCCAAGTCCCAATCACATACCCTTGCCCTGCTGATCCATCACGGTCTTTGTCTTTTTATAAGCCTCCCCTTGGGCTCATGCAGTCAATGATAATCCTCCCTTGGTACTGCAGAGACCAAAAGTTAGGAAGAGAGTGTTCTGGGTTATACCATCTCAAACTTAGCTGCCTGCAGACCCAGTGGGGAGAACTACTCCTGTGAGAACTCAAGTCCCCTCTGCTTGTTCCTACCCGCCTTGGTTAGGATAGACCATCTCACCCCCTACCATCCAGCCAGAAGGGGCTTTAGATCCTTGACTGACCATGGCTCACAGATGCATGGTAGGTCCATTTCCTCACTCTCTATCAGTTGGGGCCCAAGATTTTGAGCCTTGAGTCTTTGAGACTTGAGACCCAGAGTGACAGGCAGTTCTAGCTTATGCCTTCATGTTGGGCCTTCAGTTTCCAAATCACAGAATTATACTATGAAAAAGCTGAATAGAGTTCATGGATCATTTAGTCCAGACCTTTCACATCACACTGGATGTTTAAATAATTGATCTGAAGGCTCATAGGGTCCTTTCTCTTTTCTCTTAGGTGTGGGAATTAAGGTCAGGACTGGCAGGTGCAGGACTTGCCACAGCCATGCTCCTTAATCCTGGCAGTGCTGAGCAAGGCCTTGCATCCCAGCCCCCTGATCCAGCCAGCTGTCTGACTGTGAGTCAGGATGGCAGAGGAAGGTGATGTGGACGAGGCGGATGTGTTCCTGGCATTTGCCCAGGGTCCCTCCCCTCCCAGGGGTCCCGTGCGACGTGCCTTGGACAAGGCTTTCTTTATCTTCCTGGCCCTCTTCCTGACACTGCTGATGCTGGAGGCTGCTTATAAGCTGCTGTGGTTACTACTATGGGCAAAGTTAGGGGACTGGCTCCTGGGGACACCTCAGAAGGAGGAGGAGCTGGAATTGTGACCACCTTTCCTATAAACATCTTCTTTCCCCACCAAGGAGGTGAGAGGGGAGACAGGAGGGAAATGGGAGTGTTGGGGGCTATGGAGGAGATGCTTGGATAGCTTAGGGCAGCAGTCTTTTTTTTTTTTTTTTTTTTTTTGAGATGGAGTTTTGCTCTTGTTACCTAGGCTGGAGTGCAATGGCACAATCTTGGCTCACTGCAACCTCTGCCTCCAGGGTTCAAGGGATTCTCCTGCCTCAGCCTCCTGAGTAGCTGGGATTACAGGCATGCGCCACCGCCCCCTGCTAATTTTGTATTTTTAGTAGAGACAAGGTTTCTCCATGTTAGTCAGGCAGGTCTCCAACTCCGACCTCAGGTATCTGCCTGCCTTGGCCTCCCAAAGCGCTGGGATTACAGGTGTGAGCCACTGCGCCCGGCCAGGGCAGCAGTCTTAAATTCTGCACCTATACTCAGGGAAATAATTTTGAAGAAGTATATACTCCTTCATATATCTTTAAGTAGGTATCTAAAAATTTTCATCATAAATTAAAATTGTGGCCGGGCACAGTGGCTCATGCCTGTAATCCCAGAAATTTGGGAGGCCAAGGCAGGGGGATCACCTAAAGTCAGGAGTTCAAGACCAGTCTGGCAAATATGGTGAAACCCCATGTCTACTAAAAATACAAAAATTAGCCGGGAAAGTTGGTGGGCACCTGATTCTCTGCCTCAGCTACTCAGAGGCTGAGGCAGGAGAATTGCTTGAACCCGGGAGGCAGTTGCAGTGAGCCGAGATCGCACCATTGCACTCCGGCCTGGGTGACAGAGCGAGACTCCTTCCAAAAATACATAAATAAATAAATAAAAATAAAAATAAATAAATAAAAATTGTTTCAAGGATGTAATTCTGGCATATTGAAAATATTCACATTTTATTTATTTTTTAATTTTTATTTTTTTTTTGAGATGGAGTCTTGCTCTGTCGCCCAGGCTGCAGTGCAGTGGTGCAATCTCGGCTCACTGCAACCTCTGCCTCTGGGGTTCAAGCAATTCTCCTGCCACAGCCTCCTGAGTAGCTGGGACCACAGGTGTGCACCAGCACCCCTAATTTTTATATTTTTAGTAGAGATGGGGATTTCACCATGTTGGCCACGCTGGTCTTGAACTCTTTTTTTTTTTTTTTTTTTGTGACAGAGTCTCCTGTTGCCCAGGCTGGAGTGCAGTGGCAGTGATCTCTGCTCACTGCAGCCTGCCTCCACTTCCCAGATTCTAGCGATTCTCCTGCCTCAGGCCCCCAAATAGCTGGGACTACAGGTGTGTGCCACCGTGCCCAGCTAATTTTTGTATTTTTAGTAGAGACAAGGTTTCATCATGTTGGCAAGGCTGGTCTGGAACTCCTGACCTCAAGTGATCCGCCCACCTCAGCCTCCCAAAGTGCTGGGATTACAGGCATGAGCCACTGCGCCCAGCCTATTTATTGATTTATTGAGATGAGGTCTCACTATGTTGCCTAGGCTGGTCTGTAATCCTGAGATCAAGCAATCCACCCACCTCAACTTCCCAAAGTGCTAGGATTATAGGCGGTGAGCCACAGCTGGCCACATTTTATTTTATTTATTTATTTTTTGAGACAGAGTCTTGCTCTGTCACCCAGGCTGGAGTGCAGTGGCACCATCTTGGCTCACTGAAATCTCCGCCTCCTGGGTTCAAGCGATTCTTCTGCCTCAGCTTCCCAAGTAGCTGGGACTAAAGGCGCGAGCCACCACGCCCAGCTAATTTTTGTATTTTTAGTAGAGACGGGGGTGTCACCATATTGGCCAGGCTGGTCTCGAACTCCTAGACTTCGTGATCTGCCTGCCTCGGCCTCCCAAAGTGCTGGAATTACAGCATGAGCCACTGCACCTGGCCTATTTATTTATTTTTTTGAGACACAGTCTCTCTGTGTTGCCCATGCTGGAGTGTAGTGGTGCGATCTTGGCTTCCGGCAACCTCTGCCTCCCGGGTTCAAGCGATTCTCCTGCCTCAGCCTCCCAAATAGCTGGGACTACAGGCGCCCGCCACTACACCCAGCTAATTTTTTTGTAATTTTAGTAGAGACGGGGTTTCATCATGTTGGGCAGGCTGGTCTCGAACTCCTGACCTCAGGTGATCTGCCTGCCTCGGCCTCCCAAAGTGCTGGGATTACAGGTTTGAGCCACCACGCCCGGCCTATTTTTTTATTTTTTGAGACAGAGTCTTGCTCTATCGCCCAGGCTGGAGTGCAGTGGCGTGATCTTGGCTCACTGCAACTTTTGCCTCCCAAATTCAAGGGATTCCCCTGCCTCAGCTCCCAAATAGCTGGGATTACAGGCGCCCACGACCACGCCTGGCTATTTTTTGTATCTCTAGTAGAGACGAGGTTTCCTCATGTTGGTCAGGCTGGTCTCGAACTCCTGACCTCAAGTGATCTGCCCGCCTCGGCCTCCCAAAGTGGTAGGATTACAGGCATGAGTCACCATGCCTGGCCCCACATTTTAAAATAAAACAATTAGATCACCATTTATTGTCCAGTGGAATTGAAATATCATAGTGATGGCCGGGCACGGTGCTTCACGCCTGTAATCCCAGCACTTTGGGAGGCTGAGTTGGGTGGATCACGAGGTCAGGAGTTTGAGACCAGCCTGGCCAACATGCCAAAAACCCATATCCACTAAAAAAAAAAAATACAAAAAATACAAAAAATTAGCTGGGCATGGTGTTGTGTGCCTGTAATCCCAGCTGCTCAGGAGGTTGAGGCAGGAGAATCGCTTAAACCCGGGAGTGGGAGGTTGCAGTAAGCAGAGATTGTGCCATTGAACTCCAGCCTGGGCGACAGAGCAAGACTCCATCTCAAAAAAAAAAAAAAAGTATAAATTAGTTCTTACCAGTTGGGAATCATTCCTTTTTTCTTTCATCACCTCTTTTTTCCTTGAGCTCCTACTACTACTCCACTTCCCCACAAACTTTATGCTTTTATACTTGAAAGTCCTTTATTGACCAATCTTTTACATCTTCCTGCATATACATGTATATTAATTGAGATGAAAAATATCTTTCTTGTGATTGTAAGACTCTAGTTGTTAAAAATTATTCTGGAGGAGTTACTGTTACAATTATTATAAGAACAGAATGTTCTTATAAACATGTGATCGTACACTTTTTTTTTTTTTTTTAAGACGGAGTCTCGCTCTGTCGCCCAGGCTGGAGGGCAGTGGCGCGATCTCGGCTCACTGCAAGCTCCGCCTCCCGGGTTCACGCCATTCTCCTGCCTCAGCCTCCGGAGTAGCTGGGTCTACAAGGCGCCCACCACCACGCCCAGCTAATTTTTTTTTTTTTTTTTTTTTGGTATTTTTAGTAGAGACAGGGTTTCACCGTGTTAGCCAGGGTGGTCTCGATTTCCTGCCCTCGTGATCCTCCTGCCTCGGCCTCCCAAAGTGCTGGGATTACAGGCGTGAGCCACCGTGCCTGGCCGATCGTAAACATTTTTATAACTGTTAAAAAGAAATATTTAATAAGATAGTAGTCTGGGAGTGGCGGTTCACGCCCATAATCCCAGCACTTTGAGACGCTGAGGTGGGAAGATTGCTTGAGGCAAGGAGCTCAAGATCCATCTGGGCAACACAGTAAGACCCTGTCGCTATAAAAAACCTTTTTTTTTTTTTTTTTGAGACAGAGTCTTGCTCTGTCGCCAGGCTGGAGTGCAGTGGCTGATCTCAGCTCACTGCGACCTCCGCCTCCCGGGTTCAAGCGATTCTCCTGCCTCAGCCTCCCGAGTAGCTGGGACTACAGGCGCGTGCCACCAAGCCCAGATAATTTTTGTGTTTTTAGTAGAGACGGGGTTTCACCATGTTGGCCAGGCTGGTCTCAAACTTCCGACCTCAGGTGATCCGCCCGCCTCGGCCTCCCAAAGTTCTGGGATTACAGGCATGAGCCACCGCGCCCAGCCTCCACAAAAAACTTTTTTTAAAAAAATTAGCCAGGTGAGGTGGTGTGCGCCTGTAGTCCTAGCTACTTGAGGTGGGAGGATGGCTTGAGCCCAGGAATTTGAGGTTACAGTGAGCTATGACCGTACCACCGCATTCCAGCCTGGGTGATAGAACAAGACCCTTTTTTTTTCCTTTTTTTTTTTTTTTTTTTTTTTTTTTTTGAGATAATCTCGCTCTGTCGCCCAGGCTGGAGTGCAATGACGCGATCTCGGCTTACTGCAACCTCCGCCTCCCGGATTCGAGCGGTTCTCCTGCCTCAGCCTCCTGAGTAGCTGGAGCTACAGGCGCCTGCCACCACGCCCAGCTAATTTTTTTGTATTTTTAGTAGAGACGGGGTTTCACCATGTTGGCCAGGATGGTCTCGATCTCTTGACCCCATGATACGCCCACCTCGGACCCCCAAAGTGCTGGGATTACAGGCGTGAACCATCGCGCCCGGCCGACCCTGCATTTAAAAAAAAAAAAGACAAAAGAAAGGAAAAAAAAAAAAAAAAAAAAGAAAAGGTGGTATTCATGGTGCCTTGGTGAAAGAAACAGGGTACATTTCCCTTTATTTTAAACAGGTAAGATTACCCCCAGGAGATTTCATGGTTGAGAACTATACTTTTGAGGGGGGAGGGGAAAAAAGAGAACTATTCTTTTTTTTTTTTTTCTTAAGAGGGTGACTCTATTGTAAAAGGAGAAGTGAAGAATGAGAACCTGTACTGCAGGTGTTTCCTTAGGAAGACCAATTTTGGGAAAGTTGAGGTTCTTGAAATTAAATCCCTTACATCTTCCAAGTCCCAGTCCTCGCGGAGAGTTTTTATGTTCCCCATTTTGAAAGCTGTAGACTTTGACGACTGGAGAGAAGTGATGTGGGATTGTTCAACGGACGGGTGTTTGCGATTCTAGGACTCAGCGTTAGGGATCTAATAAGCTCTGTGACCCTAGTTAAGTGGCAAGATGCCCACCACTTGTGGAAATGGGAATCTTAGCGATTGGGACCCTGTTAATCTTTCTGGTTTCCTCATAAGCTCACCTCTGGACCCAGCCTTGCCTCCACGAGTCCCTCCAGCCTCCCTAAACACAACGAGGTGGGTATCAAATCTGTTTCTTCATCCTTCATTCTTTTTTCCCCTCTCCCCGAAGAGGAGGAGGAGGAGACCCAAAGTATTTTATGAGCCTCATTTCGCCTCACAGCAGCCCTCGCAGCGGCAATTTGCACAAACTCTCCTCCAAGCCCCACCCCATCATCGCCCATCCGCAGACCCTAGGCCTCCCACGACAAAGCACGGCCACCTGGTCAGCACAGACGGCCCTTCGAGGACCCCCTCTGGAGAAGAACCATTCAGGTCCCAACGGTCTGGCTGGTCATTAGTTCTGTGGTGAAGCTTGAAAAGCAAATCAGCAACAATAGTAATAACAATAACACTTTTATGGCGCGTTGTGCTCATTTGTACGCATGTGTTATAACGATCGCGGGACGCAGCACCTGGCAGTAGAAACAGCTGCTGGACAGCGGCAAGGAGCGCGCCGCCCTTGCAGGGGAAGGGGCTGGGTCAGCCGAATAAGCCGTGGAAATGGGAACCTGGGGGACAGGAAAGCAGGGCCAGATAGCTTGCCAATAGCCCAACTGAAAGAAAAGGTTTTACTTCCCTTTTAAGAGACTTCTGCCCTTCCCTGAAACTCTGCACAGCTTTGGAAAGCCCAATTCCTAATCCACCCTGTTCGGTTCCCCTGCCCCTCCTTGGAAACGAGGCTCGGTCCTCCCTACGCGCTACTCTCCGGCGGTTGGGCCCCAGGCAGGAAGTTTCTGATTGGCGGAGTCGTAGAAGCACCGGGTGAAAAGAGCTCCACTGGCTGCGCACCGGAGTCCGGGCGTAGCCAGTGCCGTACGGCAAAATGGCGGCCCCCAGCTGCTTTGGGACGCCTGGGTTCGGGGAGACAAACTCCGACCTGGAAGAGACCGCTGACTATGTGGGCCGCACTGGAGGTGTTCGCGGGGCGGGCCTACTGTCACCTCCGGCCACAGGAAGCCTGTGTTCCGTACGACAATATGGCGGCGCTTAGTTGCATGAAGGCGGAAACTCTGTGACTTCCGGTCCGTAGTGGGGCCTGCGGTGGGAGTGGGAAGGAAGGCGGAGGGAACCATGCGAGGTTCTGAGAATTGCGGCGAGGGTCGCCTCGAGAGACGGTTTCTGAGGTGGGGGCCGGACGGTGCGGGGATCAGAGGCGGGGGCGGGGATATAGAGGGAGAGGTATTGGGGAGAGCTGGGCGCTGAGTCTGAGGGGAAAGCTGTGGTACCTTCCTGTCCCTGAAAGGGAGTGGAGCGGCCGGGGGCTGAACTGGGGGAGGGGGATTTGGCGGGAAGCGCATCTAGCGGACCGGCCGGACCCACGGTTGGGATCTAAGAGGAATCGCGAGAGCGTAGCGCGGTGCGGGGGGACTTTTGATCAGTTACGGGTCACCGAGAGAATGGGGAAAATTAGGGTGGGGTGAAAGGGAGGGGACTTGGGTAAAATATCTTCAACCTAAAGCCCCAGTTTGAGGAGACTCATCGGAGGGTGAAATATGGAGATAATTCAAGGAGGAGAAAAGAGAACGGACTGTTGGGAGGGAACCTCTTTCACCTCAGAGAGTCTAGGAGTTGGGGTGATCATTCAGGATAGGGTGGGTGTGGGGTTGACTTGTTTGAGAGCAGAGGGGGCAAACACATGAGGTGGCGCCCACAGGAGTGTGTTGTCTGTGCAAGGGGGTGTCAGGACGATTTGGGGTGCAGTGTGGGAGGAAGAATCAACTTGCCAACTCTAAGAAATAGGGGGGAAATGCAACAGAAAGACCGGAAATCGACGTGAGGGGTGGAGCAGAAGGTGGCAACTTAAGGTGTGGGGGTGGTTTGCCCCCCCCCCACACCACTTGAAGGGCCCCAAAAAGCATATAGAACTAATGGTTATTGAAATCAGGTGGTGAAGACAGTGTTGGTCAGGGCTGGATGTTACTGAAACCCAAGGAGTTCAGAAAATGTGTGAGGTGAAGGGATGGGGCTATGCTGGAGGGGCTCATTCTGAGGCCCCATCCCCTTCCAGCAGGAATTCTGAAATCCCCACCACTTCCTCCCTCCGGGGGATTTGATCCCCTATGGCCACCGCTAACAGCATCATCGTGCTGGATGATGATGACGAAGATGAAGCAGCTGCTCAGCCAGGGCCCTCCCACCCACTCCCCAATGCGGCCTCACCTGGGGCAGAAGCCCCTAGCTCCTCTGAGCCTCATGGGGCCAGAGGAAGCAGTAGTTCGGGCGGCAAGAAATGCTACAAGCTGGAGAATGAGAAGCTGTTCGAAGAGGTGAGCTTTAGCGGGGAAGATTGTTGTACCCCAGGGAGGGGGATGGCTGACTGGTTCTCCTGTCCTTTCTTTCCCACTAACCCCACCTCCCCTTTCTCTCAACCCCCTCCCTTGTCTCTCTTCCCCTTCCTTCTTCCCCTGAACCTTCTAGTTCCTTGAACTTTGTAAGATGCAGACAGCAGACCACCCTGAGGTGGTCCCATTCCTCTATAACCGGCAGCAACGTGCCCACTCTCTGTTTTTGGCCTCGGCGGAGTTCTGCAACATCCTCTCTAGGGTCCTGTCTCGGGCCCGGAGCCGGCCAGCCAAGCTCTATGTCTACATCAATGAGCTCTGCACTGTTCTCAAGGCCCACTCAGCCAAAAAGAAGCTGAACTTGGCCCCTGCCGCCACCACCTCCAATGAGCCCTCTGGGAATAACCCTCCCACACACCTCTCCTTGGACCCCACAAATGCTGAAAACACTGCCTCTCAGTCTCCAAGGACCCGTGGTTCCCGGCGGCAGATCCAGCGTTTGGAGCAGCTGCTGGCGCTCTATGTGGCAGAGATCCGGCGGCTGCAGGAAAAGGAGTTGGATCTCTCAGAATTGGATGACCCAGACTCCGCATACCTGCAGGAGGCACGGTTGAAGCGTAAGCTGATCCGCCTCTTTGGGCGACTATGTGAGCTGAAAGACTGCTCTTCACTGACCGGCCGTGTCATAGAGCAGCGCATCCCCTACCGTGGCACCCGCTACCCAGAGGTTAACAGGCGCATTGAGCGGCTCATCAACAAGCCAGGGCCTGATACCTTCCCTGACTATGGGGATGTGCTTCGGGCTGTAGAGAAGGCAGCTGCCCGACACAGCCTTGGCCTCCCCCGACAGCAGCTCCAGCTCATGGCTCAGGATGCCTTCCGAGATGTGGGCATCAGGTTACAGGAGCGACGTCACCTCGATCTCATCTACAACTTTGGCTGCCACCTCACAGATGACTATAGGCCAGGTAGGGGGTTGGTGGGATGCCTCTCAGTGACCCTTATATGTCAGGTATGAGGCGGATGGGGCATCTCTCTAGTCCTTTCTAGGGTTTTTACTCTTCTAGTCCCTTCAAGGGCTGAGTGCTCTGACTTTATGTCTTCCCACGTAGGCGTTGACCCTGCACTATCAGATCCTGTGTTGGCCCGGCGCCTTCGGGAAAACCGGAGTTTGGCCATGAGTCGGCTGGATGAGGTCATCTCCAAATATGCAATGTTGCAAGACAAAAGTGAGGAGGGCGAGAGAAAAAAGAGAAGAGCTCGGCTCCAAGGCACCTCTTCCCACTCTGCAGACACCCCCGAAGCCTCCTTGGATTCTGGTGAGGTGTGGATGGGGTACAGCCTTCAGAGAGACATTGTCCTTCCCCTGCACTGGCCACCAGGGAGTCCAGGTTGACTGATGGGGGAGCATGAGAAGGAAAGCAAGAACCAAACCCTCTGGGGCAAGGGATTCCTTAGAGAAACTTCTTTGTCTCCCAGGGCCCTAGTGGAATGGCATCCCAGGGGTGCCCTTCTGCCTCCAGAGCTGAGACAGATGACGAAGACGATGAGGAGAGTGATGAGGAAGAGGAGGAGGAGGAGGAAGAAGAAGAGGAGGAGGCCACAGATTCTGAAGAGGAGGAGGATCTGGAACAGATGCAGGAGGGTCAGGAGGATGATGAAGAGGAGGACGAAGAGGAAGAAGCAGCAGCAGGTATGTCAAGGGAACATTCTCCTCACCTGTCATTTCTGTTTTGTTAGGCATGAGCCACCTGTTTGAAACCTTTCCCTTCCTCCTCCTAGTGTCCTCTCAGCAGTATTTTTTCCCCCTCATTCTCAGGCTACCCTCTCCCCTTTTCTTCTTTTCCAGGTAAAGATGGAGACAAGAGCCCCATGTCCTCACTACAGATCTCCAATGAAAAGAACCTGGAACCTGGCAAACAGATCAGCAGATCTTCAGGGGAGCAGCAAAACAAAGGACGCATAGTGTCACCATCGTTACTGTCAGAAGAACCCCTGGCCCCCTCCAGCATAGATGCTGAAAGCAATGGAGAACAGCCTGAGGAGCTGACCCTGGAGGAAGAAAGCCCTGTGTCTCAGCTCTTTGAGCTAGAGATTGAAGCTTTGCCCCTGGATACCCCTTCCTCTGTGGAGACGGACATTTCCTCTTCCAGGAAGCAATCAGAGGAGCCCTTCACCACTGTCTTAGAGAATGGAGCAGGCATGGTCTCTTCTACTTCCTTCAATGGAGGCGTCTCTCCTCACAACTGGGGAGATTCTGGTCCCCCCTGCAAAAAATCTCGGAAGGAGAAGAAGCAAACAGGATCAGGGCCATTAGGAAACAGGTAATAACAAGAGGAGGAGGAAGAGGGAAGCCAAGGAGGGATTGCAGGGGACTTTCGGAGAGCAATACTGGGGAACTGAGTCTGCTGGGAGAGACTGGACTGCCCCCCTCCAGCCTCAGTCTTCCCGTACCCCTCCACATATTTATGTTTCTGTTTCTAGCTATGTGGAAAGGCAAAGGTCAGTGCATGAGAAGAATGGGAAAAAGATATGTACCCTGCCCAGCCCACCTTCCCCCTTGGCTTCCTTGGCCCCAGTTGCTGATTCCTCCACGAGGGTGGACTCTCCCAGCCATGGCCTGGTGACCAGCTCCCTCTGCATCCCTTCTCCAGCCCGGCTGTCCCAAACCCCCCATTCACAGCCTCCTCGGCCTGGTACTTGCAAGGTAAGAAGGGGAGGGCGTGTTTCCTCTGACAATTTGTTCTCTTTCATTGGCTGTTTCAGCTGCTCTGTCTGAATATTCCACGTGCCACATCCTGTCTCTTCCTTTTTCCCACCCATTTTATCCTCTAAATCCTCCTGTTTCTTTTCTCCTGTACTCCAGATCTCTTTGACTCTTTGTCTCTCACTTCCCTGCAGACAAGTGTGGCCACACAATGCGATCCAGAAGAGATCATCGTGCTCTCAGACTCTGATTAGCTGCCTCCCCTTCTCCCTGCCTCCAGAATGTTCTGGGATAACATTTGGAGGAAGGTGGGAAGCAGATGACTGAGGAAGGGATGGACTAAGCTAATCCCCTTTTGGTGGTGTTTCTTTAAAAAAAAAAAAAGCTTAAGTTTTACACAGAAACATTAATAAACAATAAAGTTCTTTTCTTACTGTATCACTGTCTTTTTCTTGTCCTTCTACTGTTACAGATTGGCATTAGCTGTCCCCTTGCTCAGGGTTAGCCCAGTATCCCCGGGGTAGTCCCGCTCTGTCCTTTCTAGCCTGGCCTTTTTTTTTTTTTTTTTTTTTTTGTCTCGCTGTGTCGCCCAGGCCAGGGTGCAGTGGTGAGATCACAGCTCACTGCAGCCTGGACCTCCCAGTCTCAAGCGATAATGCCTCAGCCTCCCGAGTAGCCGGGACTACAGGCGCGTGCCACCATGCCTGGCTAATTTTTGTTTTTGTTGTTTGTATTTTTTGTAGAGACGGGGTTTCGCCACGTTGTTCAGGCAGTACTTTTTTTTTTTTTTAAGTGCTTCAGCCGCCTTAACGCACTTTACTTTTTCACTTCGTGCAGTAGGAGTGAGAAAGCCAATGAGGGGCCGACTCAAGGTTATTTAGCCAATCCAGGCCCGGAGAAAGGGGGCGGGGCTTCAGTGGGACTGTAAGGAGCTAGGAAGAGGGCGATTAGATCCCACCAACCAGCTAATGGTCACAGCTCAGAGGCGGAGCCTGGGGAACGATACCTGGACCCATCGCCAATGGGAAAAGGCAGGCTTATAGCTTTAAAGGGGAATAAATGCTTCGGCCGAACCAAGTCCTGAGCTCCCAGCGGAGGAGGGGACCTGATCTTTTAAGGTGGAATGTGGCGATGTTTCTTTAAAGGCAAAGTGGCCGAGTCGGCCGAGTATTGCCCAGCGGCACGGGCGGGGTGCCCGGCTGTGCCTTTAAAGGCGGAGGGGCGGGAGGCGGAGCGGAGGCGGAGGGCGGAGGGAGTCGGCGCAAGATGGCGGCGGGAGGGGCCCAGGTTGCTGCTCTGGCCGCCGAGTGAGGGGCGGGGGGGGCCCGGGGGCGCGCGGCCCGGTAAGCGGGGACGCGCGAGGTTGGGGGGCGCCTTCCGGGTGGGAGAAGAGGCCGAGGTAGCGCTTGGGGCGGAGCGGGGGGGGGCGGGGTCCGTTGTGGGCGGAGGTAGACAAGGGGCGGGGTCGAAAGGCCCGATAGTGGGCGGGGCACGGGGGGGGTGGGCCTGGAAAGGGGCGGGGCTAGAGAAGCTGGGGCGAAAGGGGGCGTGGTCGGCGAGAGAGCTTGGGGGGCATAGCCTGAGGGGAGATGGAGCAAGCGTTGGTTTTCAGTAGCAGAGCTGCCCTGCCCCCTCCCAAAAAGTGGGTGCAAAACACCAAAAAGGTAGATTTTGGAATGTCAGGCTCTCAGGTAAGTCGGAAATAGGGTATAATTCCGAAGGAAGCCACTCCAGCCCCTAAGAGCACCTTATTTCTCTAACCTCCAAGGAAAGGGCACAAGATTTGTCAGATACCTGTGTTTGCTGGCGCTGCCACTTGCTGTGTGACCTTGGATAATCTCTTAATCTTTCTGAGCTTTAGTTTCCTCATCTGTCAAATGGGGTTGAGAGGAATACCTACCTCACTGTTGTGGGGAGTTACACAGATAATGAGCGTGAACATATTTTTGAGTTGTAACGGGCTGTGTCGTTATGAGATGTTATCATTATTCTTTTCTCTTTTTCTTCCCAGAGACCCCCCCGGCCGCCCTCCTCCTTTCTTTGTTCCTGTGGCTGGGGGGGTATCCCCTCCCTCCACAACATGGAGCCATCTCCTCTGTCTCCCAGTGGGGCAGCACTTCCCCTGCCGCTGTCGCTGGCTCCGCCCCCACTACCCCTGCCAGCAGCTGCAGTGGTACATGTGTCCTTCCCTGAGGTGACCAGTGCCCTCTTGGAGTCCCTCAATCAGCAGCGTCTGCAGGGCCAGCTCTGCGATGTATCTATCAGAGTGCAGGGCCGGGAGTTCCGGGCTCATCGGGCTGTCCTGGCTGCCTCCTCCCCTTACTTCCATGATCAGGTCCTACTCAAAGGCATGACCTCCATCTCGCTGCCCAGTGTCATGGACCCAGGCGCCTTTGAGACTGTCCTAGCCTCCGCTTACACTGGCCGCCTCAGCATGGCTGCTGCTGACATTGTCAACTTCCTTACAGTGGGGTCTGTGCTCCAAATGTGGCACATTGTGGACAAGTGCACTGAACTACTCCGAGAAGGCCGGGCCTCAGCTACCACCACCATCACTACTGCTGCAGCCACCTCTGTCACTGTCCCTGGTGCTGGGGTGCCATCCGGGAGTGGGGGCACTGTGGCCCCTGCTACCATGGGCTCTGCGCGCTCCCATGCCTCCAGCCGGGCCAGTGAGAATCAATCTCCCAGCAGCAGCAACTACTTCAGCCCCAGGGAGTCCACTGATTTCTCATCTTCCTCCCAAGAGGCATTTGCAGCTTCTGCAGTGGGCAGTGGGGAGCGTCGAGGAGGTGGCCCTGTATTCCCAGCCCCTGTCGTTGGCAGTGGAGGGGCCACATCTGGAAAGCTGCTGCTGGAGGCAGATGAGCTGTGCGATGATGGTGGGGATGGGAGGGGGGCAGTGGTTCCTGGGGCTGGGCTCCGGAGACCCACCTACACACCCCCTAGCATCATGCCACAGAAACACTGGGTATACGTGAAGCGAGGTGGTAATTGCCCAGCGCCAACACCCCTGGTTCCCCAAGACCCAGATCTGGAGGAGGAAGAGGAGGAGGAAGATCTGGTGTTGACCTGTGAGGATGATGAAGATGAAGAACTAGGGGGTAGCTCCAGGGTTCCAGTGGGGGGAGGGCCTGAGGCTACCCTCAGCATAAGTGATGTCCGTACCCTGAGTGAGCCCCCAGACAAGGGGGAGGAGCAGGTCAACTTCTGTGAGTCCTCCAATGACTTTGGCCCATATGAGGGTGGGGGTCCTGTGGCAGGTCTTGATGACTCAGGGGGGCCAACTCCCTCTTCCTATGCCCCCTCCCACCCTCCTCGACCGCTCCTTCCCTTGGACATGCAGGGCAACCAGATCCTGGTCTTCCCGTCGTCGTCTTCATCCTCATCCTCACAGGCTCCTGGCCAACCACCAGGGAACCAAGCAGAACACGGGGCAGTGACCGTGGGGGGCACGTCGGTGGGGAGCCTGGGTGTGCCGGGTAGCGTTGGTGGGGTCCCTGGAGGGACTGGCAGTGGGGACGGGAATAAGATCTTTCTGTGCCATTGTGGGAAGGCCTTCTCCCACAAGAGCATGCGGGACCGGCACGTGAACATGCACCTCAATCTGCGGCCGTTTGACTGCCCCGTGTGCAACAAAAAGTTCAAGATGAAGCACCATCTGACTGAGCACATGAAGACGCACACAGGTCTCAAGCCCTACGAGTGCGGAGTCTGCGCCAAGAAGTTCATGTGGCGAGACAGCTTCATGCGCCACCGAGGACACTGTGAGCGCCGGCACCGCCTGGGCGGGGTCGGGGCCGTACCTGGGCCTGGGACTCCCACGGGGCCATCCTTGCCGTCCAAGAGAGAGTCTCCCGGAGTGGGCGGGGGCAGCGGCGACGAAGCGAGTGCGGCCACGCCCCCGTCCAGCAGACGTGTCTGGTCCCCACCCAGAGTCCACAAGGTGGAGATGGGCTTCGGTGGAGGTGGAGGAGCAAACTGAAGGGGCAGGCTACTGGGGTGGGGTAGCTTTCGGGAAAGGGAATAAGGAGCACGATGCAAGGGCGCTGTGGCCCCCGGGTGATCTCCCACCACACTTACTGTCTTCCTTTATCTCTGTGGACTTGTATATATTCTGGAAGGGGAACCACAGTTTCACCATCGCCCGCCCATTCTACTACTCAACCCCTCCCCCCCAAGGTATTTCCAGAACTAAACCCTTCCTTTCCCTCTGATGGGTACACTGAAGCCCCTGCTCCACAGAGTAGATTGCACATGGAGGGAGGGAGAGGGGGCGTGTTGAACATCCTGCAGTCACAGGGTCAGGGGTCAGGTGGTTGTAGTCTGTGCCTGAAGTCTGTGTTTGTGTTGTCGTGGAGACAAGGCCTTTGAGCCCCACCCTTGTCCTAGAACCTACCCCCTCTCAAGGATGCGCTCTTTATTTCTACCCTGTCTCTCCCCGCCACCCCCGACTTCCCGTGGAAATTCCCAACTCGGTTCTCATGGAGGAGTGGGTGGAGACAAGGAGGGAGTAAGTCGTAGGAGTACAAGGTTTTTATTTTTTTTAACAGTGATTAAAATATTTATTGGTCATTTACTTGGCTTCCCGATAACCCGTGTGTTTGCTGGGGACGCGGCACAGATAGGGGGAAGCCGGAGTAATGGTTTTCGGGCAAGTGGATGTTGGAGAGCACACACAGGAGTTGGGGGGCGGGGGAGGGCCTGGGGTTGGGGAGGGCTCGAACTCGGGGCTGCTGGGTAGTCCAGGAGGGCGCGGTAAGGCTGGGGTGTCCTGGTGAGAACTGGAGAGGATCTACCCGGGTCCCTGCCTGGCCAGTGGGGAAACACCGGTCCCCCAGGCACCTTCACCTAACCAGAGCGGGGATTTCCACCGCCCCTCATGCCGCCCTTTGGAGGAAAGTGAAAGTGAAAGGAGGAAGAGGAGGCTTCATGGCTGAGGAGGTCGCAGCGCCATGAAGTCCCTGTCTCTGCTCCTCGCTGTGGCTTTGGGTGAGCGAACCCCGCGACTCATCGCCCAAGAACTAGAGGGAAGCGGAGGGAGGTGGCCCCACTGGAGCCGATGCCAGGGTGGGAGTGGGGCAGGTCACCAGACATACAAACCGCTCCTCACTCGCGTCCCTATACGCCAGGCCTGGCGACCGCCGTCTCAGCAGGACCCGCGGTGATCGAGTGTTGGTTCGTGGAGGATGCGAGCGGAAAGGGCCTGGCCAAGAGACCCGGTGCACTGCTGTTGCGCCAGGGACCGGGGGAACCGCCGCCCCGGCCGGACCTCGACCCTGAGCTCTATCTCAGTGTACACGGTGAGTCTCTAGGGACTCGCCGCCCCCCTACCTCTGTCGCCTCCACCGAAACCCCCTCCTCTTTAGATCCGGCAGTGACCTCAGGCCTCAGCTTCCCCTTTGTAAAGTGAGTCTCACTACGGGGTAGTCTGTGCATTTGAAGTTCCCCGAACGCTGCCCTTCCAGCCCCTTTCCCGGCGGTGACTCTACAGCTGCAACTTCCTTCTCTACACTCAGACCCCGCGGGCGCCCTCCAGGCTGCCTTCAGGCGGTATCCCCGGGGCGCCCCCGCACCACACTGCGAGATGAGCCGCTTCGTGCCTCTCCCCGCCTCTGCGAAATGGGCCAGCGGCCTGACCCCCGCGCAGAACTGCCCGCGGGCCCTGGATGGGGCTTGGCTGATGGTCAGCATATCCAGCCCAGTCCTCAGCCTCTCCAGCCTCTTGCGACCACAGCCAGAGCCTCAGCAGGAGCCTGTTCTCATCACCATGGCAACAGGTAGCTGGGGAGGGGAGGTGGAGAAGGGTGGGTAGATTCTAAGGGTCCAGATCAGCCGGTGGTCTCGCTTTATGGACTTGAGCAAGACATTTCGCCAATCGGGGTTCAGTTTCCTTTTTTTGTTAAGAGAGGTGGTTTGGCTAGAATGAATCAATCTCTACCGCTCCTTCTAGCCCTCACCCAGTTAAAAAAAAAAAACAAAAAAAAAACTGCAGCTTGGCAGGGGGTAGGGGGAAAGCAGGGCCGGGCAGGGGGGTTACTTTCTGGTGTTTCGAAGGGCGGGGCTTTGAAGAGGTGGGGTTTCCCGACACCAGACCTTGAGAGACTTGTCAGGTGATGCGAGGTGGGAGGGGTTCAGAAGCAGGAGCGTTTTTTCTCTGCTCTTCCCAGATCTGTGTCTTGCTCTGCACCCTCAGCTTTGCGGGTCACTCTTTCAAAACCCAGCACTCTATCCCCACCTGCGCCCACACCCGGCGCTGCGGCAATCCGCAAAGCAAAGGCTCTTGCACTCTAGCGCGTTGACCTTGCCTGACAGCCCCGTGTAGGGATGTGCTGCCGCTCTGTGGTCCGCAAACAGGTGGGCTCGAGTGGGCGGATGGACGCGGCTGGAGATTGGATAGCTCCTATTGCACTGAAAGGTGCATTGCAGTTTGAGGCCCAGGAGTCAGAAGCTTTTCTAGGCTGGGACGTGGGAGGGACTGTGCAGATAATTCAAGAATGAGGAGAGTCTGACCTGGATATCTGGGAGCTCTCCCTCCTGGCAGCGGAGGCGGGGTATTCCGGGGTAGAATACCGGTAGAGTTCTTAGCTTTTCTATCTGGATTTTATGTCAGCGACACAGCCCGATGGACAGGGCAACCCCAACCAATCCCTGCACCCTCCCTTCCCTCCACCCTCCTGAGAATTACCCACAGAACCAGGGAGACAGACTTGAAACCCACGCTGAAACCCTCACCTCTGCCTATACCTCCATTCTTAGTCTCAAGCCCCCACCCTGGCAGAAGCTGAGGAACACTGCTCTTGTGTAGACAGTAGCTCTCTCTGGTGGGGTGGAATATTTCCTAGGGCTACTGGCTCCACCGAGGTGATGATGAGAATGGTCTTTGCTTTCTGAGTTTGTTTTTCCAACTGTAAAATGTGGATACTATTTCCCAGCTGCTTTTCTTGTTGTGACTATCAAGAGATGGCACTGTGTTAATTTATCCATTGATTCAATAAATACTTTTTAGCACCAAGAATGAGTTAGGACTCAGCAGTTCTCAGTCCACACTGTTGGAGGTTTCTAAAATATACTGAAACCTGATTCAATCCCATGCTTAGCTTGGCCGATTAAATCAGAATCTCTGGGGTGGCCCTGGGTGCCCTTAAGGGTCACAAAGATGATCTGATGTAGACTCTGCTCTCCAGGAGGTTCTGGGCGTATTTGCCACGGATAATCCTAATGTAAAGTAGAAAGTGAAGGACATGCAGACAGGGAGCCCTGGAAGTGCCCGGGTGGTAAGATTGTCTGTATTTCACAAACAACTGGGGTCAAAGCAAGGTGCTGTGCTATTTATTTATTTTTATTTTATTTATTTATTTATTTTTGAGACAGAGTTTTGCTCTTGTTGCCCAGGCTGGAGTGCAATGGCGTGATCTCACGCTCACCGGAACCTCCGCCTCCCTGGTTCAAGCAATTCTCCTGCCTCAGCCTCCCGAGTAGCTGGGATTACAGGTGCCTGCCACCACACCCAGCTAATTTTGTATTTTTAGTAGAGATGAGGTTTCTCCATGTTGGTAAGGCTGGTCTCGAACTCCCAACTTCAGGTGATCCTCCCACCTCGCCTCCCGAAGTGCTGGGATTACAAGCGTGAGCCACTGCGCCTGCCTGCTATTTATTTATTTATTTATTTTTGAGACGGAGTCTCCCTCTTATTGCCCAGGCTAGAGTGCAGTTGCAGTGGCATGATCTTGGCTCACTGCAACCTCCGTCTCCCATGTTCAAGCAATTCTTGTGCCTTAGCCTCCCCAGTAGCTGGGATTACAGGCTTGTGCCACCACGCCCACCTAATTTTTGTATTTTTATTGGAGACAGGTTTCACCATGTTGGCCAGGATGGTCTTGAACTCCTGACCTAAGGTGATCCACCCACCTTGGCCTTCCAAAGTGCTGGGATTACAGGCATGAGCCACCACGCCCGGCCTGCTGTGCTCTTTCTTTTCAAGCATTTCTGCTTGATCAGGGATTTAAGAAAATGAAAGCTGTTGTACTGATGTAAAATTAGAAATGAAATCTCTCCAGGGTCCAAGATCATTCATGATTTTGCTAATATACATTTATACTTGTCTTATCAAATATTTTTAAATGTTTATTGACAAATATGCTTATTTATTTATTTATTTGAGACAGGGTCTCCCTCTGTCGCCCAGGCTGGAGTGCAGTGCAGGCTGGAGAGCAGTGGCATGATCTCAGCTCACTGCAACCTCCACCTCCGTGGCTCAAGTGATCCTCGTGCCTCAGTCTCCTGAGTAGCTGAGACCACAGGCATGTGCCACCATGCCCAGCTAATTTTTGTATTTTTTTTGTGGAGATGGGTTTTTGTCAGGTTGCCCAGGCTGGTCTTGGACTCCTGGGCTCAATTGATCTGCCCACCTTGGCCTCCGAAACTGCTGGGATTACACGTGTGAGCTGCCTGGCCCCAAATATACTTTTTTTTTTTTTTTTTTTTTTTGAGACAGAGTCTCACCCTGTTGCCCAGGCTGGAGTGCAATGGTGTGATCTCTGCTCATTTCAACTTCTGCCTCCTGAGTTCAAGTAATTCTCCTGTCTCAGCCTCCCAAGTAGCTGAGACTACAGGCGCCCACCACCAGGCCCAGCTAATTTTTGTATTTTTAGTGGAGACAGGGTTTGGTCATGTTAGCCAGGCTGGTCTTGAACTCCTGACCTCAGGTGATCCACCCACCTCAGCCTCCCAAATTGCTGGGATTACAGGCGTGAGCCACCACGCCAGGCCTATACTTTCTTAATATACTTTGTGTGTATAGTGTTTAATTCTCACCATTCTTTTAAAATATTATGGAGTCAGGTGAGGTGACTCACGCCTGTACTTCCAGCACTTTGGGAGGTCTAGGTGGGAGGATCATTTGCACTCAGGAGTTCAAGACCAGCCTGGGCAACATAACCAGACCTTGTCTCTACTAAAAATTAAAAAAATGCTGGGCGCAGTGGCTCATGCCTGTAATCCCAGCACTTTGGGAGGCCGAGGTGGGCAGATCACCTGAGGTCGAAAGTTCAAGACCAGCCTGACCAACATGGAGAAACCCCGTCTGTACTAAAAATACAAAATTAGCCAGGCATGGTGGTGCATGCCTGTAATCCCAGCTACTCGGAAGGCTGAGGCAAGAGAATTGCTTGAACCTGGGAGGCGGAGGTTGCAGTGAGCCAAGATCATGCCACTGCACTCCAGCCTGGGCAACAAGCGTGAAACTGTCTCAAAAAAAAAAAAAAAAAAAAAAGGTTGGGTGTCGTGGCATGTACCTATGGTCCCAGCTACTCGGGAGGCTGTGTTGGGAGGATTGCACCTTTGATGGGTGACAGAGTGAGACCCTGTCTCCAAAAAAAAAAAAAAAAAAAAAAGAGTTAAACTGTAAAACCTTTAGGTCTTGTTTATTATTTTTTTAAATTTTTTCTTTTAAATAGAGATGGGGTCTTGCTATGTTGCCCAGGCTGGTCTCAAACTGCTGGGTTCAAGTGATCCTCCCACCTCAGCCTCCCAAGGTACTGGGATTACAAGTCTGAGCCACCCTGCCCAGCCAGGTTTTGTTTATTAATTCTATGGATTTTTTTTTTTGAGATCAAGTTTTGCTCTTGTTGCCCAGTCTGGAGGGCAATGGCATGATCTCGGCTCACCACAACCTCCGCCTCCCAGGTTCAAGTGATTCTCCTGCCTCAGCTTCCCAAGCAGCTGTGATTACAGGCGTGTGCCACCATGCCCGGATAATTCTGTATTTTTAGTAGAGACGGGGTTTCTCCAGTCTGGTCTCAAACTCCCAACCTCAGGTGATCCACCGGCCTCGGCCTCCCAAAGTGCTGGGATTACAGGCGTGAGCCACTGTGCCCAGCCTGTGGATCTTTTTTTTTTTTTTAACAATTCAAAAGTATGTTTCTGGATTTTGACAAACTAAGTGAAATTGCATACTGTTTTTACTCTACTGAACAATTCCATGAAGATGAGAACAGTTTAACCTTATAGGCCTCAGAAGCTAGGATTAAAAAGAACATAAAAATAATTACAAGAAGAAAAAGATTACTTCTACCTGAAGGACCTAGACATTTCTGGGAAGAAACAGCAGTGAAAGTGACCTTCATGTACATGGAGTATTTAGATCAGGGGTCTCCAATCTTTTGGCTTCCCTGAGCCACACTGGGAGAAGAATTGTCTTGGGCCATGCATAAAATATACGAACACTAACGATGGCTGATAAGCTAAAAAAAAAAAATGTGAAAAAATCTCATAATGTTTTAAGAAAGTTTATGAATTTGTGTCGGGCTGTATTCCAAGCCGTCCTTGGCTGCATGTGGTCCCTGGGCTGGAGGTTGGACAAGCTTGATAGATGTTTGGGAGAAAATGGGAAAGACAATGTAAACTGAAGGGACCTCATGACCAAAGCAAAGAGATGACCAATGATGACCACTTCTACTAGGCACAAGAAAGGGGTTCTATGTGGCTGGTTTGTAGGGTGCAGGAGAAGCCTGGAAGGGTGGGTTAGGGGCTGAATGTTCAAATACCTTGAAAGCTGGGCTTTGTTCTGTAGGTGAGAGCGAACCATCAGAAGTTCTTTTGGAGGGCGTGTTATTCTAAAAAGCCTGTTTTTATTATGTACATATTTATTTTTTGAGACGGAGTTTCACTCTTGTCACCCATGCTGGAGTGCAATGGGGTGATCTTGGCTCACTGCAACCTCTGCCTCCTGGGTTCAAGCAATTCTCCTGCCTCAGCCTCCCAAGTTGATGGGATCACAGGCACCCACAACCACGCCCCGCTAATTTTTTTTTTTTTTTTTTTTGTATTTTTAGTAGAGATGGGGTTTCACCATGTTGGCCAGGCTGCTCTCGAACTCCTGACCTCAGGTAATCCACTCGCCTCAGCCTCCCAAAGTGCTGGGATTACATGTGTTAGCCACCATGCCCGGAAAAAGCCTGTTATTTTACTTGATTCTTTTAAAAGATAGGCAAAGGTCAGATCTTTGGACTAGTGAGGAAAATACAGGTTAAATGATTTTTCCAAGTTAACCAGCAAGTCCATGATAGTGATGAAGGTAATGAAAATAGTAACAGCTAACATTTATCAAGTATTTTCTATATGCCAGGCCCTGTTCTAAGCACTTTATATGCATAATCTCACTTATTCCTCTCAACAACCATAGGTTGTAGGTTTTAATATTATCCCTGTATTGCATATGGATAAATATAGGACACAAACCAGTTAAATAATTTGCCCAAGGACACACAGTGTGTAAGAAGCAGAGCTAGAGGCCAGGCGTGGTGGCTCATGCCTGTAATCCCAGCACTTTGGGAGACCAAAGCAGGCGGATCACCTGAGGTCGGGAGTTCAAGACCAGCCTGGGCAACATGGTGAAACCCCATCTCTACCAAAAATACAAAAATTAGCTGGGCACGGTTGTGGACGCCTGTAATCCCAGCTACTCAGGAGGCTGAGGCAGGAGACTCACTTGAACCTGGGAGGCAGAGGTTGCAGTGAGCCAAGATCACACCACTATACTCTAGCCTAGGTGACGAGCAAAACTCTATCTCAAAAAAAAAAAAAAAAAAAAAAAAAAGAAGCAGGGCTAGAAATTGAACCCAGGCCATATAGCTTCAGCCTATGCCTTTATCAGCTGACTTCCTAGGTATTTGGGATTTTTATTTTATTTATTTATTTAGTTTTGAGACGGAGTCTCACTCTGTTGCCCAGGCTGGAGTGTAGTGGCATGATTTCAGCTTACGGCAACCTCTACCTCCCAGGTTCAAGTGATTCTTCTGCCTCAGCCTCCCAAGTAGCTAGGACTACAGGTGCCTGCCCCCACACCTGGCTAATTTTTGTATTTTTAGTAGAGACAGGGTTTTGCCATGTTGGCCAGGCTGGTCTTGAACTCCTGACCTCAGGTAATCCACCCGCCTCAGGCTACCAAAGTGTTGGGATTACAGGTGTGAGCCACCACGCCTGGCCGTATTTGGGATTTTTTTTTTTTTTTTTTGAAACGGGGTTTCCCTCTTATTGCCCAGGCTGGAGTGCAATGGCACAATCTCGGCTCACCGCAACCTCTGCTTCCCGGGTTCAAGCAATTCTACTGCCTCGGTCTCCCGAGTAGCTGGGATTACAGGCATGTGCCACCACACCAGGCTAATTTTGTATTTTTAGTAGAGACGGGGTTTCACCATGTTGGTCAGGCTGGTTTCAAACTCCCGAACTCAGGTGATCCACCCGCCTCGTCCTCCCAAAGTGCTGGGATTATAGGCATGAACCACTGCGTCTGGCCCATATTTGGGATTTTTAAACAGGTAGGTGATGGGATCAGACTTGTAGTCACTTTGTTTGGCTACAGTGTGAAGAAGGAGTTGAAGGAGAGACTGAGAATAGGGAGACCAGACAGGAGGGCTGTTGTAATTGTCTAAACGTACATTGATGAGAACCTAAATTGGAAACAGATGTGAGATCTGTTAGGTCCTGGTGGGGATAGCACATAGCACATTATTTTTGACAATTTGCTTGTCTGTCATTGGACTATAGGCAATTTGAGAGCAGGGACTGCTTGTCTTGTTCACCATTCTGTCTTCTACCAGGATACCTTGAACATCTTCAGTGCTCAATAGTTGCTGAATGAATAAATGAGTCTGAGTAACTCCAAGGGTTTGCTTTTAGTGTCTGGCGGGCTTGGTGATCATTCATCAAAGACAGGGAAGATGGGCATTGGAGCAGGGTGGGGAATGTTGCAGAGATGCTGTTGACTTGGGGTATGCTAAGTTAGGTGTAACTATAGCAAACACGTGTAGACTTACTGTGTTCCAGACAGTGTTGTAAGCACCCTTCATGGGTAGGTGTCTCTGTTATCTAAAATTGGGAACTGAATAGACTTGAGTAGCAAGAGGTATTAATGATTTAACCATCACAACAACCTCATGAAGTAGGTACTATTATTATCATCAACTTTTAATTTTAGAGATTAGGAAGCTGAGCCATGGAAAAAGGAAGTGGCCCAAGGCCATATAAATAAGCTGCAGAGGGGATTTGAACCCGGTCAGCCAGGCTCCAGGCACTTAGCCACTGCACTGTACTGCTTCAGTAGAGCATAGAGGTCTGTGCTCAGGTCTAGGCTAGAGCTGGAACCTTCTAGAGTCAGTAAATATTCTGTACAGCACCACAAGACTGACAGTCATGGCTCAATCATTGTCTTCGCCTGTAATCAAGAAAGGCCTGGTTCCTCAAGGGTGGTGCTTGGAGATAGAGTGGTTCAGGTTGTGTCAGAAGTGGCCTCGGATTCTGCAGTCCCCCGAGCTAGAGTGTGCTATGTGTTCAGAGTAGGCTTCAAAGGCCATACCCCCTCATTGCCCCTACTCACCACCCCTAGACCTCTCTGCTCACCCTCAGCCACACTAGGTGCCACCCAGTCGCAGAGCAAAAGGAGTTTGCAGGGAGGGCTAGGAAATGGTGAGTATCAGAAAAGGTGTCCTCTGAGGGGTGGGTAAACTGCAGTTTAGCCCTCCCCAATAACTGCATTTCTCTATTTTTTTCTCCTTCTTTCTCTCCCTCATGCCCCTCCCAACCCCTCATCTCCCTGTCTTCCTCAGTGGTACTGACTGTCCTCACCCACACCCCTGCCCCTCGAGTGAGACTGGGACAAGATGCTCTGCTGGACTTGAGCTTTGCCTACATGCCCCCCACCTCCGAGGCCGCCTCATCTCTGGCTCCGGGTCCCCCTCCCTTTGGGCTAGAGTGGCGACGCCAGCACCTGGGTAAGGGACATCTGCTCCTGGCTGCAACTCCTGGGCTGAATGGCCAGATGCCAGCAGCCCAAGAAGGGGCCGTGGCATTTGCTGCTTGGGATGATGATGAGCCATGGGGCCCATGGACCGGAAATGGGACCTTCTGGCTGCCTACAGTTCAACCCTTTCAGGAGGGCACCTATCTGGCCACCATACACCTGCCATACCTGCAAGGACAGGTCACCCTGGAGCTTGCTGTGTACAGTGAGTTGGGGGACAGAGGTCTCCAGGGGTAGAGGGTGGGCACTGGATTGTGGGGACCGTAATAGGGGGAGGGATGATGGATAAGAGGGTGCCTGGGCAAGTAAGTAGAGATAGAAAGAGGTTCCTGGGAGTTAGAGGGGTAATGGGAGGCTAGAAGTTTCCTGGAAATTTGAGGGGCTTTGACATGGGTATTTCTGTGACGCACCAATGGAGAGACAGTGGGTTCCCTATTTCAGGAGAAGAAACCTAACCTTCTTTAGTTCTGAGGAAGCCAGCAGGCAAACTGAGGGTCTCTTAGGGAGGACAGTATGGACTGATTTCCCTATGCTCATTTCGTCCTCTTTCCCCAGAACCCCCCAAAGTGTCCCTGATGCCAGCAACCCTTGCACGGGCCGCCCCAGGGGAGGCACCCCCGGAATTGCTCTGCCTTGTGTCCCACTTCTACCCTTCTGGGGGCCTGGAGGTGGAGTGGGAACTCCGGGGTGGCCCAGGGGGCCGCTCTCAGAAGGCCGAGGGGCAGAGGTGGCTCTCGGCCCTGCGCCACCATTCCGATGGCTCTGTCAGCCTCTCTGGGCACTTGCAGCCGCCCCCAGTCACCACTGAGCAGCATGGGGCACGCTATGCCTGTCGAATTCACCATCCCAGCCTGCCTGCCTCGGGGCGCAGCGCTGAGGTCACCCTGGAGGTAGCAGGTAAGAGCTGGGAGCTCTGCGGAATCTGAGCCAGCACCCAGGAAGACAGGAGCTCACTCTCACCCCTTCTGCCTGCCAGGTCTTTCAGGGCCCTCCCTTGAGGACAGCGTAGGCCTTTTCCTGTCTGCCTTTCTTCTGCTTGGGCTCTTCAAGGCACTGGGCTGGGCTGGTAAGTGTCAGCCCTACCCTGACCATGACCTGAGGTTGGTGGACTTTCCCCACCTACTCCCAAGAGCCTGACACCCATCCCTCTGCCCTCCACCTCTACCACTCCAGCATCCCATCCCTTCTCAATCTTTCCCCACAGCTGTCTACCTGTCCACCTGCAAGGATTCAAAGAAGGTACAGTGCTCCACCTCTCTGTATCTTTCCCTTGTCACTTTATCTCCTCATCCTATCTCAAAACCCATGGAGGGAGGCTGCTGGTGTGGTAGGCAGAACCTAGGCTTGGAATTCACACTGATCTGGGTTAAAACCTGGCACTATATCCTAACTGTAGGACTCTTTGAGCATGCTACTTAATCTATATGTTTCCTTGGGTGTAGGGATTTTAAAAAGTTACTTAGGCAGTGCTGTCCAATAGAAAGATAATGCAAGCCACATATGTAAATTTAAATACTCTAGTACTCACATTAAAAAAATAAGCAGAAACAGGTAAAATTAACTTAATAATATACCTTATTTAATCTAATAATTCTGGTCCCTTATCTGAAATGCTTGGGTCAGAAGTGTTTTTGGATGTTGGATTTTTTCAGACTTTGGAATATTTGCATATATTTAATATCTTTGGGATCAGACCCAAATCTAAACACAGAAATCATTTATGTTTCCTATACACCTTATACACATGGCCTGAAGATTTTTTTCCTTCTCTTTTTTTTTGAGACAGAGTCTCTGTCGCCCAGGCTGGGGTGCAATGGTGCGATCTCGGCTCACTGCAACCTCCACCTCCCAGGTTCAAGCGATTCTCCTGCCTTAGCCTCCCGAGTAGTTGGGATTACAGGCACCCACCACCACGCCTGGCTAATTTTTGTATTTTTAGTAGAGACGGGGTTTCACCATGTTGGTCAGGCTGGTCTCGAACTCCCGACCTCAGGTGATCCGCCCGCTGCCTTGGCCTCCCAAAGCGTTGGGATTACAGGTGTGAACCGCTGCACCCGACCACAATATTTTTAATAATATATGTGACCCATCACATGAGGGCAGCTGTGGGATTTTCCACTTGTGGCATCATGTTGGCACTAAAAAAATTTCAGGTTTTGGAACATTTCAGATTTTAGAGTTTTGGATCGGCGATGCTCAACCTGTACATCCAAAATATTATTGCAACATGTAAACAATATAAGAAATTACAGGCCGGGTGCGATGGCTCATGCCTGTAATCCCTGCACTTTGGGAGGCCGAGGCGGGAGGATCACCTGAGGTCAGGAGTTCAAGACCAGCTTAGCCAACATGATGAAACCCCATCTCTACTAAAAATACAAAAAATTAGCCAGATGTGACGGCACCTGTAATCCCAGCTACTCGGGAGACTGGGGCAGGAGAATCGCTTGAACCTGGGAGGCAGAGGTTGCAGTGAGCTGAGATCACACCATTGCACTCCAGCCTGGGTGACAAAAGGAAAACTTCGTCTCAACAACAAAAAAAAAAGAAAAAGAAATTACAGTCTTGGCCAGGTGCGTTGGTTCACGCCTGTAATCCTAGCACTTTGGGAGGCTGAGGAGGGCGGATCACCTGAGGTCAGGAGTTCAAGACCAGCCTGGCCAACATGGTGAAACCCCGTCTCTACTAAAAATACAGAAAAATTAGCCGGGCATGGTGGTGCACACCTGTAATCTCAGCTACTCAGGAGGCTGAGGCAGGAGAATTGCTTGAACCTGGGAGGTGGAGGTTGCAGTGAGCCGAGATCGCACCACTGCACTCCAGCCTGGGCAACAGAGTGAGGCTCTGTCTCAAAAAACAAAACAAAACAAAACAAAACAAATTAGCTGGGCATGGTGGCACACAGCTATAGTCCCAGCTACTTGGGGAGCTGTGGCAGAAGGATCGCTTGAATCTGGGAGGGTGAGGCTGCAATGAGCTAAGGTTGTCCCACTGTACTCCAGCCTGGGTGACAAAGTGAGACCCTGTCTCAAAAAAAAAAAAAAAAAAAGAAAGAAAAGAAAATAAATTGCAGCCCTTTTCTCACCTTACGTATTCAAACACAGGTGTTTATTTTAAATAGTCAGCACATCTCAATTCGGACTAGCCACATATCAAATGCTCAATAGCCTAATGTGGGTGGTGGCTGTCATATTGGACAGCGGAGCCTGAGAGGACTTTTAGGAGGATTAAGGAAGACAGTGTATCTCCTTAAGAAGATGCAGGAGATACAGCACTCAGCAGTGTCTGGAGGGCAGAAAATATTAGCCTCATCCTTCTCCCATCATCTGTGCCCATGATAGTTTATATGTCTCTAAACTGACCATGTACACCTCAACTGCCTTTTAATATCCTGAATTCCTCACCACCTTCCTCTCTTCCAGAAAGCAGAGTGAGGGCACTCACTGCCATCCTGTGGAAGCCACCATCATCTCTGGCCCAAGCTTCTGTAGTAGCTCCCTAAAATAATACCCTATCATCTGCTCCTAATCCCTCCAATCTCTCTCCACTGAGTGGCTGGAATGCTTTTTTTTTTTTCTTTCACTTATATAAGGGATAATTTTTCTTTTTTTTTTTTTTTTGAGACGGAGTCTCACTCTTCCGCCCAGGCTGCAGTGCAGTGGCATGATCTTGGCTTACTGCAACCTCCGCCTCCTGGGTTCAAGCAATTCTGTGGCTTCAGCCTCCGGAGTAGCTGGGATTACAGGCACATGCCACCACACCCAGTGAATTTTTGTATTTTTAGTAGAGACGGGGTTTCACCATGTTGGCCAGGCTGGTCTTGAATTCCTGACCTCAGGTGATCTGCCCACCTCAGCCTCCCAAAGTGCTGGGATTACAGGCGTGAGCCACCACACCAGGCCCGAGAAATGCTTTTTTAAAAAACACACATCTTATGGCATTCACCTTCTTGGAGCTCTAGGACAGTGGTTCTCAAAATTTTTTTCTCTCAGGACCTCTTAAAAATCATCAAGGACCCCAAAAAGCTTTTGGGTATGTGGGTTATAGCTATCAATATTTATGGTACTAGAACTTAAAAGTGAGAAAAATTTAAAACACGAGAATACATAGGCACACATTCTATTCATCGTGGGAACCATGGTGTCAATACATATCATGTAGCTTCTGAAAAACTCCACTGTACACTTATAGAATGAAGAAGGCAAAAAACTTTTTTTTTTTTTTTTTTGAGACGGAGTCTCGCTCTGTCGCCCAGGCTGGAGTGCAGTGGCGCGATCTCGGCTCACTGCAAGCTCCGCCTCTCGGGTTCACGCCATTCTCCTGCCTCAGCCTCCCAAGTAGCTCGGACTACAGGCGTCCTCCACCATGCCTGGCTAATATTTTGTATTTTTTAGTAGAGACGGGGTTTCACCGTGTTAGCCAGGATGGTCTCGATCTCCTAACCTGGTGATCCGCCCGCCTCGGCCTCCCAAAGTATTGGGATTACCCGCGTGAGCCACCGCGCCCGGCTGCAAATAATCTTTCTTTTTTTCTGAGACAGAGTCTCGCTCTGTTGCCCAGGCTGGAGTGCAGTGGCACGATCTCGGCTCACGGCACGCTCCGCCTCCCGGGTTCACGCCATTCTCCTGCCTCAGCTTCCCGAGTAGCTGGGACTACAGGGGCCCGCCACCACGCCCGGCTAACTTTTTGTGTTTTTAGTAGAGACGGGGTTTCACCGTGTTAGCCAGGATGGTCTCGATCTCCTGACCTTGTGATCTGCCCGCCTCGGCCTCCCAAAGTGCTGGGATTACAGGCGTGAGCCACCGCGCCCGGCGGCGAAACACGATATTGTACTAACATCTTAATTTTGTTATAAAATCTCACAAACCCCCTGACATAGTCTCAGAGATCTGTAGGGCCGAGGTTACATTTGGAGAACCCGTACTCTAGGGCCAAATCCATTCTTCTTGCCCTGGCTCACTTGTCCCCCCCACCGCCCCGCGCTGGAGCCACTGCCTAGTTCTTCAGCCCTAGATGGTGCTCGCCAGACCTCCTCTCAATGCTCATCACACACAGGGCTATTCCTTTCCTCCAATGAACCAAACGCCTCCCGCCCACCTCCAGGTCCCAGTCCTCTGTTCCCTTTGCCTGGTCCACCCTTGCCCTCCCTGGGTCGCAGACGAGGTCGGCCTCGTCATTCCCCGCAGACCGCCGCGCGTCCCTCTTGTGCGGTTCACCACAGTTGTATTTAAGTGATCGTGTGAGTCGTCGTTAAATGCCTGTCTCCCCGCGGATCATGGGCTCCTCGAGGACAGGGACTGGCCTGTCTGTCCACTGCTGTAACCCCGCGCCGGCATAGGGACCTAAGGCCCACTGGAGGGCGCTCATCAAGTAGCTGCTGGATGTTGACGAAGGAAGCGGCGGCGCAGCTCAGGGATCTCCGAGTCAGGACGGTCGGCCAGACCCACGGGGTAACGGGTCTAATCGTGTAGGAATAAAGCTGTATTCCAGTGCTTCCAAACGGTTCTCTCATTCCAACCCCTTTCCAAGCTCAATGAATATTCCAATCACCTCTGGTCCCTTCCAGTGACCCTGAACCGCTCAGAGAACGCCCCGTCGACACCGTTCGGGGCGGGCGCCACTACTGGCGCATGAGATGCGCTCAAGCAGAGGGTACTCCACCAGCGAGGATACACCGAGCCGACGGGGATCTCGGTCTCGGCGCCGGAAGCCTCTGAGAGCCGAATCTGGAACCGGATGTGGCTGCTTCCTGCCCCGCCCCCTGCCGAGGGGGCGGGAATCGAGGGCCCTTCGGAAAACCCGGCCGGGATTTCGGTCAGCTACATTCGTGGGTTGTGGTAGGGAGGGTAATCCCGTGGGGATGGAGTGACCGGCTCTCTCTCCGCCTGAAACGCTTCCCGCGGGAGTTTTAGCCGTGTTATTGTTGGGGAAGGGAATGTCAAATTCTGCTCCTGCCTTCCCCCAGGGGCTGGAGACTGGAATCTTTATTCCAGTTCATTGCGGGTCGACGTGGTCTCCAGAATCCCCGAGTGTAGAGGCGGAGGACAGTGGAGCTGGGGACTCGGGCGCCTGGGTCCTGGTCCCTGAGCGTCCAGCGCTCCCCTAGTCCGCGGCCCTGGCTCCTGTCCTCACTTCCTTCCCCTTTTGGCTCCTGCTCTCGGAGCGGGCGGACGCGGGGGGGAGCGGAAAGGGCGGGAGGGCCCAGGAGCCCGGCGGGGGGGTTCAAGGGGGTACGGAAAAGCCGGGGAGGGGACTCGGTCCGGGGCCGGAGACCGACGGCAACAGCGGCTCAGGACCCACGCTGCCCCCACCCCTCCCGAGCAGGTCAGAGCCTGAGCACCCTGCGCGTCCCCGTACTCGTGACCTCCTCCTTCCCCAACAGCACCAAGGGCCCCCCTATTCCACCCTTCTGTTGCCCCCTCCCCCAACCTTCCTGCAGAACTCCCTTCCGGTCTTCTTGACACCCACCCACGTCCCTTCCCTGCCCGGTTCCCCCGCGCCTGCCTGACTCTCCACCCCCACCCCACCCCGTCTCTCCCCAGGCGCCCCCATGGCCCGACCCCGCTGATTCCTTCACTCGGCCATGCTCCCGCGGCCCCTGCGGCTGCTTTTGGACACGAGCCCCCCCGGGGGAGTCGTACTGAGCAGCTTCCGAAGCCGGGACCCCGAAGAGGGTGGGGGCCCAGGTGGCCTGGTCGTGGGCGGGGGGCAGGAGGAAGAGGAGGAGGAAGAAGAAGAGGTGAGACGCGGGTGGTGGGAGGTAGGGGGCGTATGTATTTCTGAAGTCTCCACTTTTCTCTTGTCTCTGGGTCCCTACATCTCCTCCTCCTTGCCTCAGTTATTCTCGCGCCTCCCTGGGTGTCGGCCCGTTTCTCTGCTGCGGGGAGTCCTGGCGTCTCCGTGGTTCTCTGTCAGTGTGACTCAGGACCTGCCCGCAGGAACCTGCCCTGTTCCTGCCTGGAACTTCTGGCTGGCTGTCCTGTCCCTGCGGGTCTTTGGCCCTCCACCTCTGCCTGCCTGAGTGTGCCTACCTCTCTGAGCAGTCGTGTCTTGGTCCCTGTCTCCCTCCTTGTTTTTGTTTGGCGGGGAGGGGTTTGTTTCCACAGTAACCAGCTCCTCTGACTCTGGGATTGGGGAGGGAACCCTCAGATTTCGTGACCCCTCCTTCCCTCTCTCCCCCTTCCCCCCGCCCCCCCGCCCCGCCCCGGTCCTGGGTAGAGGCCGGGAAGCCACGGTTCTGGGACCTGGAGGAAAGATCCTAGGGTGGGTAGAGAGTGGTCATCTGTTTTCATTAGGGATTAATGGTGGTGGCCAGGAGCAGGATTTCGGGCCTCAGGAGGGGCCAGAATTTGGATTTGGGGCCCCGAGGCCCTAAACTCCTAGGTCCAGATCCTAGGTGAGGGCAGGTTGACTGGCAGGGCTGGTTTTTCGGGATCGGTCGGGGGAGGGGCTGGGGCCACGTGACTCTCTGAGTCTACCGCCCCCAACCCCCTATCATCCCACTTCCCCTTTTCCTTCCTGTACTGGGATTGGAGCTGCTACCTTCGGGGGTCCCTTAGGGCTGAGATAGTGGAGGCGCTACCCGAGGGACCAGGGTGAAAGGGGTCCTGAAAAAGACTAATTCTCTGGGCTGGTATAGTCCTTGGCCGGGAGGGGCGGGGCATGCGGCAGTGCCTGGACTGAGGTTTCAGCTACCCCTAGTCGCTGCCTCTGGCTTGCTGCCTCTCGCTTCCCTCTCCTGCCCTTTGTACCCTGCTTCTCTGTCGTGTGTGGGTTCAGCTCTGGGGAGAAGGGGCTTTGGGGGTCTCCAGGATCAGAATTCCTGTACTCCATCCACGCCTCCACTGCAGCCCCTTCGACTCCACCGGGGCCCTGAGGCGGCTGGGGTGGGGCTGTCTGGGCCCCAGTGGGGGAGACCTGGGGTCACCAGCTCCCCCAACCCTTCCTCGCACTCGCTGGTACTATGCCCTGCCACCACAGGTGAGGGGTACAGAGGGAGGAGCAGGGCCTGGGGTGAAGGCTGAGGGCAATGGGGGGTGGTGTGGAACTGTCTGACTTCCCCTTCCTTGCTCCTCCAGGCCCCTGTGTCCGTCTGGGATGAGGAGGAGGATGGTGCCGTGTTTACCGTCACAAGCCGCCAATATCGACCTCTTGATCCCTTGGTGAGATCATGACTTTAGCTTCTCACCTCTGACTCTTCATTCCCAGTTTTCCTTCCTCTGGCTGACTTTCTGGCCAGAGTGCTAGGTTGGAGTTCTGGAGTCCTGGACTCTGCTGTGTGACATAGGCCAAGACTCTTGCCCTCTCTGAATATCAGAAAAATGAGTCTGGAACATCTCCTGGGTCTGGGATTGTCCTCAGAAATCTAGGTGCAGAGTGGGAGAAAGGGTTAGCGATCATCTCTCTGTGTTCTCCAGGTCCCTATGCCTCCCCCACGTTCCTCCCGACGGCTCCGAGCTGGCACTCTGGAGGCCCTGGTCAGACACCTACTGGATACCCGGACATCAGGGACTGATGTGAGCTTCATGTCAGCCTTCCTGGCTACCCACCGGGCCTTCACCTCCACGCCTGCCTTGCTAGGGCTTATGGCTGACAGGTCAGAGTCATAAGGGACGCAGGGTAGTGGAGTATCTGCCCGGATTTCCTAAAGCCGCAACATCCCACCAAAATAGTCAAAGCCACTGAGGGTTTGGGAAAAATGGACAGATAGATCCTCTTCTCCCCCTCAGGCTGGAAGCCCTTGAATCTCATCCTACCGACGAACTAGAGAGGACAACAGAGTGAGTGACCCCTGGTTCTTAATCTCACAGTCCCCTCTGCCCAGGCTGCAGCTTTACCTCTCACCCTTGGCTGATTCCCTTCTCCCAGGGTAGCCATCTCTGTACTGTCAACCTGGCTGGCCTCTCACCCTGAGGATTTTGGCTCTGAGGCCAAGGGTCAGCTTGACCGGCTTGAGAGCTTCTTACTTCAGACAGGGTATGCAGCAGGGAAGGGTGTTGGGGGGGGCAGCGCTGACCTCATCCGCAATCTCCGGTCCCGGGTGGACCCCCAGGCCCCCGACCTTCCTAAGCCCCTGGCCCTCCCCGGCGATCCCCCTGCTGACCCCACGGATGTCCTGGTGTTCCTCGCTGACCACTTGGCCGAACAGCTGACCCTGCTAGATGCGGTGAGACCCTGACCTCTGGCCCCTATGCCCCCTGACCCCTTACTAACCTCTCCTTGACTCCAGATCCTTTCCTTGCTTCCACCCCTTCCTGATCCAGCTCCTAGCCTCCTCCACCTACCATTTTGATTCTCCCCTTTTCCCTTTGGTCGTTACCCTTCAAACCCTGTGCCCCTCTGGTTCCTTGGCCACCTGAGATCCTCAGATCCCTGATATTGGAAGGCTGACCTCACTTGACTATGAACTTTAACCTCTGACCTCTACCCTGCAGGAACTTTTTCTCAATTTGATCCCCTCTCAGTGCCTGGGAGGCCTGTGGGGTCACAGAGACCGGCCAGGACATTCTCACCTCTGCCCATCTGTCCGAGCTACTGTCACACAGTTTAACAAGGTGGCAGGGGCAGTGGTTAGTTCTGTCCTGGGGGCTACTTCCACTGGAGAGGGACCTGGGGAGGTGACCATACGGCCACTCCGTCCCCCACAGAGGGCCCGGCTCCTGGAGAAGTGGATCCGCGTGGCAGAGGTGAGAGAGAAGATTGCCCTACGGTTTGTGGCCATGGAATGGAGAGGCCTCCCATAGCCTTAGCTCTCTTCTTTGACCCCCACAGGAGTGCCGGCTGCTCCGAAACTTCTCTTCAGTTTATGCCGTGGTGTCAGCCCTGCAGTCCAGCCCCATCCACAGGCTTCGGGCAGCCTGGGGGGAAGCAACCAGGTGCGGAGGCTGAGGCATTGGACTGGGGTGGGGGTTCCTCAGAAGGCGGGGAAGAGGGGGTGACAGAGCCAGGCCTGTCCTCAGGGCCACTTTTCTCCCTTCCCCAGGGACAGCCTCAGAGTCTTTTCCAGCCTCTGCCAGATTTTCTCCGAGGAGGATAATTATTCCCAGAGTCGGGAGCTGCTCGTGCAGGTGAGAGCCTGGTTTGTGGCATTCCCACCTCTCCTTGTTCCCTACTGCTCCCCCATGTCTCTTTTATTTTGTCACCACCAGGAGGTGAAGCTGCAGTCTCCTCTGGAGCCACACTCCAAGAAGGCCCCGAGGTCTGGCTCCCGGGGTGGGGTGAGTGACTAGCGGGGTGGTGGGCGTGGGGGTGGTGATTATGAAGGGGTGAGGAGTATGTTTTGGGGGAGCAGCCTGAAGGATGGGTAAGGGAGGCACAGAGGGGTGAGGAGAATGAAATCTGTTCTCTGAGGCAATGAGGAGGGCAAGTGCGGAGGGATGGAGGGCCCTCACGTCAATGGCAGGCACTTCTGACCCTGACCCCTGACTTCAGGGTGTGGTCCCATACCTTGGCACCTTCCTGAAGGACCTTGTGATGCTGGATGCAGCCTCCAAGGATGAGTTGGAGGTCAGTGGTGTGTGTGTGTGTCATTGCAATGATGTAACAAGTGGGCTGCAGGGTCGGACAGACCCCCCCGCCCCTTGCAAGGGGCTGTAAGGCACAAATAGCTGAGTGTGGGACAGAGCCAGATCTGTTTCTGTGCCAAGTCGCCTCAGTGATCTGTAAATGGGAAACTAGAAATAGCATCTACATTGATCTGTTATAAGGGTTAAATGAATTTGTATTTGTCAAGTGCTTAGAACGTGCCTGAAACGTAAGCACATCTAGGTTTTGTGATGGGCTCCTGCTCTATTGCTAGAGTTTGTTAAATAAACAAATACTGAGACCTTGGACAAGTTCCTTATCCTCTCTGGATAAGGAATCCTGTCGAATTGGATACTATCCAGTCCTCTCATCTGCAAAGCAGACTCGTTGTCTACCTGAGAAATTCAATTTAAAGGGTCAAGTGGAGTGCTTAGGCCATGATAGATTGAGGAGGAAGGCAGGGAGGGATCGAAGAGTCAGAGAGGCTGGAGGGAAGTGGTTGTGAGTTGGATGTGGCTGTGTGTGTTTAAGAGAGGGGATATTCTCTCTCTGTGGCCGGAAGGTAGGGTTGGAACTTTCACCCCATCCCCATTTTCCTCGCAGAATGGATACATCAATTTTGACAAGCGGAGGAAGGTGAGCGGAGTGTCTGGGCTGGATGCTGGACTTCCCTATCCATGTTCCAGGAAGGGGAGGGGGAAAAGTCAGGGGTCCCTGAGTTTTGGCTCCTGCAGTTTGAGGGCTCCTTCCCAGGAGTTTGCAGTCCTTTCTGAGTTGCGACGGCTCCAGAATGAATGTCGTGGCTATAACCTCCAACCTGACCATGATATCCAGAGGTGGCTACAGGGGCTCCGGCCACTGACAGAGGCTCAGAGGTGACTGGCGGGTGAGGTTGGGACTCCAGGGTTCTGGCCAGGTGTGGGGGATTGGTGTCATGTCCTGAGCTCTGCCTATTGCCCCCCTAACCCAGCCATCGTGTATCCTGTGAGGTGGAGCCACCTGGTTCCAGTGACCCTCCTGCCCCACGGGTGCTTCGGCCAACATTGGTCATCTCGCAGTGGACAGAGTGAGAGATTCACTGGCTGGGGGGTGGTTTCTTGGGACTTCCACTTTTCTCTGATCCTCCCAATCTCCTGCCACTGCAGGGTTTTGGGCTCTGTTGGGGTCCCTACCCCGCTTGTGTCCTGTGACCGGCCCAGTACTGGGGGAGATGAGGCGCCTACAACTCCTGCTCCTCTGCTGACTCGGCTGGCCCAGGTGAGCTCTGCTCCTGACTCTGACCTTGACGCTGACCCTCACTCTGTAAATGTTTCTTCCTTAAACCTCCCTGCCTTCATGCCAGTCCCATGTTGTTTGTTCCTAGCACATGAAGTGGCCATCTGTCTCGTCACTAGACTCTGCCTTGGAAAGCAGTCCATCCCTGCACAGTCCAGCTGACCCCAGCCACCTCTCCCCACCAGCCTCCTCCCCTAGGCCTTCTCGAGGTCACCGCCGCTCAGCCTCCTGTGGCTCCCCGCTGAGTGGGGGTGCAGAAGAGGCCTCCGGGGGGACTGGATATGGGGGAGAGGGATCTGGGCCAGGGGCCTCTGATTGCCGTATCATCCGAGTCCAGATGGAGTTGGGGGAAGATGGCAGTGTCTATAAGAGCATTTTGGTGAGGGAGCCTTGGGATGGAGTTGGGGTGAAGGATGGTGTCTTGTTGGACTATAAATGTTGTCTGAGGTTTGGGCAGCCAAATGGAATTGAATGTAGTTTTAATTTTGACCTTTGGTTTTGGCAGTTATGTTTTATTTTTAATTTTATCTTCTAAACTCTAGTCTTCAATAGAAGCTGAAATTTGTTTTATTTTGATGGCTATTTTGCATTAGTTGCTACACCTTAAACTTTTGGTCGCCGTGTTAAAATTTCAGAATCAACAGCAGTTTCCCCACAGGGAAGCAGCTCTGTTTCACTGGGCACCATGTGGGCTGGCTTATGGGGTATAGGAAGCCACCATATTGGGTTTTCCTGTTCATTTTAAAGCCTTGGACACAAGTAACATTTTGTGGTTGGGTTCAGTGGCTGAGGGTAGAAGGATGGGAAATCATGGCTGATTGATTGCTCTTTTGGTCTCCTGTTCTGCCAGGTGACAAGCCAGGACAAGGCTCCAAGTGTCATCAGTCGTGTCCTTAAGAAAAACAATCGTGACTCTGCAGTGGCTTCAGAGTATGAGCTGGTACAGCTGCTACCAGGGGAGCGAGGTCAGAGGCCATGAGGGAAAGGCAGACTCGGGAGGAGAGTGGAGTACTTCCACATCTGGGCGGCTGTGGGGGGAACAACTGTGTGTGTGCTTTACATCCATCCCCTGAACCTTCAGAGCTGACTATCCCAGCCTCGGCTAATGTATTCTACGCCATGGATGGAGCTTCACACGATTTCCTCCTGCGGCAGCGGCGAAGGTCCTCTACTGCTACACCTGGCGTCACCAGTGGCCCGTCTGCCTCAGGAACTCCTCCGAGTGAGGGAGGAGGGGGCTCCTTTCCCAGGATCAAGGCCACAGGGAGGAAGATTGCACGGGCACTGTTCTGAGGAGGAAGCCCCGTTGGCTTACAGAAGTCATGGTGTTCATACCAGATGTGGGTAGCCATCCTGAATGGTGGCAATTATATCACATTGAGACAGAAATTCAGAAAGGGAGCCAGCCACCCTGGGGCAGTGAAGTGCCACTGGTTTACCAGACAGCTGAGAAATCCAGCCCTGTGGGAACTGGTGTCTTATAACCAAGTTGGATACCTGTGTATAGCTTCCCACCTTCCATGAGTGCAGCACACAGGTAGTGCTGGAAAAACGCATCAGTTTCTGATTCTTGGCCATATCCTAACATGCAAGGGCCAAGCAAAGGCTTCAAGGCTCTGAGCCCCAGGGCAGAGGGGAATGGCAAAATGTAGGTCCTCGCAGGAGCTCTTCTTCCCACTCTGGGGGTTTCTATCACTGTGACAACACTAAGATAATAAACCAAAACACTACCTGAATTCTACTCCCCTGTCCTTGCAGTACATATGAACTGGCTGCTATGAGTGGGGGTGGGGAATTGGCTGAAGGTAGATGCCATGGAACAGGAAGGGGCACAATGTTTTCTGTCCCCATGAACAGAGCAAAAAGTGAGGTATTGGTGAAAAAAGTTTCCTCAGAACAGTTTCTCTCCAGTAACCTCTCTACCACTGGTCCCTTGCTGCAAATGTGTATAAAACAATTTTAGGACAAGGAAATGGCAGAACAACTTTATGGACAACATATAAACTTGGGAGGACTTATAATACCATAAAGCATTACATGCTGGGATTTTAAGTCAGTTTAAAGCTACATTCAAGCAAATTCTAGGAAGACAGAGGCTGAAAAGTACTAATAGAGATGCCAGGGCTGTTGGCAAGGAGGGTAACCACATTTCATCCTGGGGCCTCAGGTTAGAGAACTGTGTATTCTTTTTCAATTAAACCGACATTCCTAGCAATATGGTATGTTGCAAATGCCCTTCCAAAAGAATCATGCCAACCAAGATGAGGGAGAGTTAAGGGTTGTATATACAGGCAAGAAGTAGGTTTGAAGACATTTAGGATTTCACTTTCAAGAAAGAACACTGTGCCACAAAGAGATTCCAAGTGCAAGAGTTTGAACCTGAGGGGGTAATACAGGTGGTGTGTGTTAAGGTGGAAGGGGCTGTGGGGATATGACAGAAGTGCCTGGTCAGGAAACAGAGCCAGGTGTTTTTACATTTTATTAGCTACAGTATAGATCCTAGAGCTGCCTCATTCCCTCCCCTCCCCTCCCCTCCCCCCACCATGGGGTCAGGCCTTGCCAGGAGCCCCTGCCTTTGCTGCCTGGGCCCGCTGGAACTCCTGCTGCAGCTGAGCAAGGGTCTCCCTCTGTTGCTCTGACTGCCGCTCAAGATCCCGAAGCTGGGATTCGTATCGCTTACTAAGGAGAGACAAGGGAGACAAGCAGAAAGGGAGAAATTAGTAGGACTCACTATGGAGAGTGCTAAACGCAAGAAAGAGATAGGTGGAAAACTTGAGATCCAGGGGAGGGAGAAGAAGGGGGGTTAAAAGGGAAGGAAAGGGTTGGAGGAACTGGAGGACTAGGGGCCACTATGGAGAGCTGTTCTGCAATGGTTCAACACCTCTACTCCAATGGTTCACTTGCATCACAGGGTGCAGCACACGGTGGTGGAATAAAAACTCACATTTCAGCTGTGATATAGTCCAGCCTCTTCCCTACTGTGGCCCGAGCCTCCCCCAGCTCCTGTTTGACTAGCACCGGACCCAGAAGTTTAAAGACCACGTTGGACCCATCCAGCAGGGCCAGTTCCTGATGGAGGGATGGGACATATGTGATCAGAACCATGGCTAGTACAGGTCCCTCCTCGCCCCACAAATCCCAGTCCCTCACCTCTTTCACGATATTATTTTCTGTTAGTTGTGCTTCAAGTTTCTGCCTCCCCGACATGGATTTACTTAAGTCTGGGGATGAGAGGAAAGGCAATTTAGAAACATCAAATGTGCCACCTATCCCCACAATCCTAGTCAGGTGGATATGGATCTGAGGAAGCAGAAAAGGATGGGGGCAGCGGGTGAGTGAACAGGGAAGAGTACTGAGACTGAGGCGGGGAAGTCTCTGCACGCGAGGGCCCAGATGGGGCAACAAACCTTATCTCGGTAATGGCTTTGGGTTGTAAGTGCATTGGGCGAGACCATACCGACCCTGTTCCCTTACCCTTCTGTAGCTGTTGATATTTCTCCACTTCTCCCTGTAGCTTCTTCTGGATCAGCTCCGCCATGGCGGGGATGAAAGCCTACTGGGTGCGAGACAAGGGCGCTGGGTCTCACTCTCTGGAAGGTACCTGAGCTCCCTTTTCTGATCTGGCCTGCGGAAATGATAGCACTCTTGAGAGGTAGCCCTGAGGGGCACCGCAACCTCCCCCCCGTCCCGGATATCGACTCCACCCTGTCCCCAGGAGATGGTGGGCGAAACGCAAGACCCCAAGCCTCTCAACCGAAATCCTAACCTACTCACGTTCTTCCTTCAGTAGTAATAAACCCGGAAGTAAACAAGGAATGCTGGGAAAAGACTGTGCCGGAAGTTTCTTTCTGACCCTTGATGGGAAGTGTAGTTCTGACATGTTTAGGGAGTGGAGTTCTGCTAAAAAGACTAGACTAGGACATTTTTAGGCAAGATGGGGAAACTAATCCAGAAAAAGAAACCGCACCGCTACTTAGCCCCTGGCTCCGGACCTGCCTTTCTTTTTTAAGTCACTCTTGCATAAGCTGCCGCTCGCGATAAGGTGCCAAAAACTGTTCCGCCCCTCTAAGGAGAGCGTGCCCTCACTCAAGATGGCACCTAGAGAGCTTCATACCTGGTACGCTGCTGATTGGATGAAGGACAGAGGGCTTCCGGGAGTTTTCAAGCCGACTGTGTGGCAGCTGAGAGGAGTTTTGCACGTGGATCGCCGTTCGGGTGGGCGAGATGGAGACAGCCCCCAAGCCGGGCAAGGATGTCCCGCCCAAGAAAGACAAACTTCAGACCAAGAGAAAGGTAGAGGCCTCCCTGGGTGGGAAACGAAGTTTTTAGCTGTGGGGTCGGGGGGCGGGGCGTGAGTGCGGAGTTCCTGATGTGCCTGTAGAAACCGCGGCGATACTGGGAGGAAGAGACCGTTCCGACCACAGCCGGAGCCTCTCCAGGGCCTCCTCGTAACAAGAAGAATCGGGAGCTCCGTCCTCAGAGACCAAAAAATGCTTACATCTTAAAGAAGTCTCGGATCTCTAAGAAGCCTCAGGTCCCGAAGAAACCCCGAGAATGGAAGAACCCGGAGTCCCAGCGCGGCTTGTCCGGGGTGAGCGTGGGACCTGATGGGTGGCGAGGCAGGCCGCCTCGTTCCTTGAGAGTGAGAGGGTTGGGGTCAATCCAAGGCTGTCTGCTAATTGCGTCCTCCTTTCCCCTAGGCCCAAGATCCATTCCCAGGCCCCGCCCCCGTCCCTGTGGAAGTGGTCCAGAAGTTCTGTCGCATTGACAAATCCCGAAAGGTGAGGTCCAGCCGGAGAGTTGGGAAGTGCTGGAGGCAGGGAGTGTCTGGGTGAGTTGGATGGAGGCTGGGACAGGTAGCTCTCCTGTGACCCCACTTATCCTGTGGTTCTTCTGCCACTCCTCCCCACCAACAATGTTACAGCTACCACATTCTAAAGCCAAAACTCGAAGCCGACTTGAGGTGGCTGAAGCTGAGGAAGAGGAAACAAGTATCAAAGCTGCTCGTTCTGAGCTGCTGCTTGCTGAAGAACCTGGGTGAGTGAGCCCTAATCTGGACCCCCATTCCCTGCCTTTTGGGACTGTCTTTTCTCGTTTTTATGTTGGTATACTTGCTTCATATTGGGAAGCTTTACTGCCATCCTAACCCTTGCTTTCAGGTTTCTGGAAGGGGAGGATGGGGAAGACACAGCAAAGATATGCCAGGCTGACATTGTGGAGGCTGTGGACATTGCAAGTGCAGCCAAGGTGAGCCTGAGGAGGTAAAGGAGCCAAGGGATTGATTGGTGGTGCAGGACAATAGAGGAATGGGGGCTAGAAGAAGGCGTTACTGCAGGGCACTCTTTTTTTTCACTCTTCTCTTTCCCAGCACTTTGACTTGAATCTGCGGCAGTTTGGACCCTACAGACTAAACTACTCTCGAACTGGAAGGTAAGGTTGAATTCTAGTGACTCTTGAACTAAGATGTGTTTCCTTAACCACTTCAGCCATTCCCAGTGTATGTTTGGGTTGCTGATGAGGGGAGGGTCCTTCGATTTGCTTGGGTGTGAGGGTAAGCACCTACAGCAACATGTGTCTGCCCGCCTGGAGAGATGGGGCTGGCGTGGGGCAGACCTCAAGTTGTCTGAGTCGGTGGTCCCCTGCCTTAACACCCTGCCTGCCCCTCACCTCCAACAGACACCTGGCTTTTGGAGGGCGCCGAGGTCATGTGGCTGCCCTTGATTGGGTAACAAAGAAGCTTATGTGCGAGATCAACGTCATGGAGGCGGTGCGGGACATCCGGTCAGTGGCCTCACTGTCAGCGGTCAGTTGGGGTGAGATAGTCCATTCCTGATTGAATGATAGCCTGTGACCTCATTTCCCAATTGAACCACTCTTCCTCTCCCCCAGGTTTCTCCATTCTGAGGCACTGCTTGCTGTTGCTCAGAACCGCTGGCTCCACATCTATGACAATCAGGGCATTGAGCTCCACTGTATCCGCCGCTGTGACCGAGTAACACGGCTTGAGTTCCTGCCCTTCCACTTCCTCCTGGCTACAGCTGTGAGTGGCCATGGAGCTCAGGAACTGGTTGGAAGCCCTTGGGATGACCACCTCTCCTTTAGGACCCCAGCAGAGGGAATACAGAGGGCAATCAGGACTGGGTCATTCTCTCTGTCTTTCTCTCTCAGTCAGAAACAGGGTTTCTAACCTACCTGGATGTGTCAGTGGGGAAGATTGTGGCAGCTCTGAATGCTCGAGCTGGGCGGCTCGATGTTATGAGTCAGAACCCTTACAATGCCGTCATCCATCTCGGACACAGCAATGGTCAGTACCTGGCTTAGTTTTGACTCTGACCATCCTGACTTGCTTTTCTTCTATATTTGTACTTCATGAGTCCCTTAAAGTTACCCTTTTATTTCCCTTTTTTGTTATCTCTTGGTCTTGAGTTCCCATCTTTCCCATGTTTAGTAACCTCAGGCTTAGGTGTGTATTAGCAACTTTGGTTCTTCTTCTCTTCCAGGTACTGTGTCTTTATGGAGTCCAGCTATGAAGGAGCCACTGGCAAAGATTCTCTGTCATCGTGGTGGGGTCCGGGCTGTGGCAGTAGATTCTACAGGCACGTAAGTCACTGGTGGGGTGAGGTGTTAGGAGTCATAGGTGGGCAGAAAGGTGTGGAAGGCAGTGTGCTTTAGGAGCACAGAGTCTAAAGCCAGGATGCCCAGGTTTAAATCGCAGTGTTACCACGGATGGGCCTTGCAAGTATAGGCATATTTCATAACCTCTGTGTGCCACAGTTTCCTGACCCCGAAAATGGAAATATGAGTGTCCATTTCAAGGGTCCACAAACTTTTTCTGTAAAGAGTCAGATAGTAAATATTTTATGATTTGCTGATAAGAGGTAAAATCAAAGGGTACCATGTAGGCATTTAAATACCAAGAGAAAACAAATTATCACAACTTTTTTTTTTGAGATGGAGTCTCGCTCTGACACCCAGGCTGGAGTGCAATGGCGCAATCTCAGCTCACTGCAACCTCCACCTCTCAGGTTCAAGTGATTCTCCTGCCTTGGCCTCTCGAGTATCTGGGACTACAGGCGCCTGCTACAACACCTGGCTAATTTTTGTATTTTTAGTAGAGACAGGGTTTCAGCATGTTGTTCAGGCTGGTCTCGAATTCCTGACCTCAAGTGATCTGCCCGCCTCAGCCTCCCAAAGTGCTGGGATTATAGGCGTGAGCCACTGCGCCTGACCTTTTTTTTTTTAAATCTTTTGAGAGAGACGTAGTCTTGCTCTGTCTCCCAGGTTGGAGTGCAGTGGCGTGATCTCGGCTCACTGCAACCTCCGCCTCCCAGATTCAAGCGATTCTCCTGCCTCAGTCTCCCAAGTAGCTGGGATTACAGGCACCTGCCATCATGCCCAGCTAATTTTGTATTTTTTTGTAGAGACGGGGTTTTACTGTGTTGGCCAGGCTGGTCTTGAACTCCTGACCTCAGATGATCTGCCCGCCTCGGCCTCCCAAAGTGTTGGGATTACAGGCGTGAGCCACTGCGCCTGGCCCACACATTTTTAGGTTATAAAATTAAACGTAATATGGCCAGGTGCGGTGGCTCACGCCTGTAATCCCAGCACTTTGGAGGCCAAGGCGGGTGGATCGCCTGAGGTCAGGAGTTTGAGACCAGCCTGGCCAACATGGCGAAACTCTGTCTCTACTAAAAATTCACAAAATTAGCCGGGTGTCGTGGCGGGGGCCTGTAATTCCGGCAACTTGGGAGGCTGAGGCAGGAGAATTGCTTGAACCTGGGAGGCAGGGGTTGCAGTGAGCCAAGACTGTGCCATTGCACTCCAACCTGGGCAACAAGAGCAAAACTCCGTCTCAAAAACAAACAAACAAACAAAACATAATATGAGACTGGACACAGTGGCTCATGCCTGTAATCTTAACAGTTTGGTAGGCTGAGGTGGGCAGATCACTTGAGCCCAGAAGTTCGAAACAAGCCATGTCACCCATGACATGGCAAAACTCTGTCTCTACAGAAGATAGAAAAATTAGCCGGGTGTGGTGGTGCATGCCTGTAGTCCCAGCTACTCAGGAGGCTGAGGTGATCCTCCCACCTCAGCCCAGGAGGTTAAGGCTGCAGTGAGCTGTGATCATGCCACTGCACTCTAGCATGGGCAACAGAGTGAGACCCGGTCTCAGAAAAAAAAAATAATAATAATCAAATATATTTGTGTAATACAGATCTACTAATGGGAAGAACTGAATTTCTCTTTTTGAGGTTAACATTTTGCCTAATTGATGTACAAAGTTAGTGTTCCAGATGGTCAAATTTGACTGTAGATATTCATGTTCATGCTGATCTGTAGAGATTGCAAGTATTTCATCTTTGAAAACATCTTTTCACACAGGTAATGATAGGTGATATGTGAGGTGCTTGAAATGCTGTGAAGCACTTACGACTGTGTCACTGTGACTTGTAGTGTACAAAGCAGCAGTGCAAATCAGGATGCTGTAGTCGCTGTCGTGACCACTCGGCTGTGTGTTGTAGAGCAAAAGCAGCCACAGTATTAAGTAAATAGTGTGGCCCCGTTCCAATAAAACTTTATTTGTTGGATATTGGAATTTGAATTTCATACGGTTTTCACAGTCTCAAAATATTCTTTTGATTTTTTTTCAACCACTTAAAAATGTAAAAACCATTCTTGGCTTGTGGGCTATACAGAACTAGATGATGGGCCAGGTTTGGCCCATGGGCAGTAGTTTACCAAGCCTTGGTTTAAAGCCCTCATATAAGCTGTTGTAGACATTAAGATGAGTTAAGGCATATAGTTTAGCACAGCGCTTAGCAAAATAGGGAGCGCTGTGTTCATCATTGTCATTCAAGATGATCGTTCTCTCCAGGTCTGGCTGATGTGAGGGGTGGAGGTGGTGTCTGCTTTGGATTTCTGCTGTTCCTGAGGGAGTATCTGCATTTTCCACAGCTTTTCTGTCTGATTTGTATTTTCCTCTGATTCCTTTTGTCATCAGGTATTCACTGGGCACCTGCTGTGGGCAGGGCTCTGCGCTGAGGTTCTGGAGACAAAAGGATGAATCGTTGAGCCTGCCCTGGTGTGGTGCTCCCGTTATCCTTTAGGTATAAAAACTTGTGGCTATTTTTTTTTTTTTTTTGAGACAGAGTCTTGATCTGTCACCCAGGCTGGAGTGCAGTGGCACAATCTCAGCTCACCACAACCTCTGCCCCCCGGGGTTCAAGCGATTCTCCTGCCTCAGCCTCCTGAGTAGCTGGGATTACAGGCGCCCACGAACCACGCCCAGTTAATTTTTTAATGTTTAGTAGAGATGGGGTTTCACCATCTTGGCCAGGCTGGTCTTGAACTCCTGACATCGTGATCCACCTGCTTCGGCCTCCCAAAGTGCAAGTGTTGGGATTACAGGCGTGAGCCACTGCACCCGGCCATGGCTATGGTTTTTGAGAATGATTGGCCAGGTGATGCATTTATTTATTTTATTACTATTTTTCGAGACGGAGTCTTGATCTATCACCCAGGCTGGAGTGCAGTGGCGCGATCTCGGTTCATTACAACCTCCGCCTCCTAGGCTCAAGTGATTGTTCTGCCTCAGCCTCCAAGTAGCTGGGAGTACAAGTGCATGCCACTGCATGCGCTAATTTTTGTATTTTTAGTAGAGATGGGGTTTTGCCATGTTGGCTTGGCTGGTCTCAAACTCCTGACCTCAGGTGATCCGCCCACCTCGGCCTCCCAAAGTGCTGGGATTACAGGCATGAGCCACCACGCCTAGCTCAGGTGATGCCATTAGTTTCTACACAGTTATCCTCTGTCATCCCAGACTCAATGTGTCCATCACTGGATAGGTCACCGCCTCCTAAAGTTTCTCTTGACCTGCTCTCATCTCCCAGAATTTTCCTGTCACCCAGAATTTGACTCAGGTACACACCACCACACCTGGATAATTTTTCTATTTTTTGTAGAGATGGGGTTTCACCATGTAGCCCAGGCTGGTCTCTGTCTTGAACTCCTGGGCTCAAGCGGTCCTCCTACCTCAACCTCCCAAAGTACTGGGATTACAGAGTAATTACTGTGAGCCACCACATCCAGCTTGGCCACCAGCTTATTCAAAGTCTCCAGGATGCTGGGACCACCCCCCCCACCACCCGCTCCCTGTTTTTGCATAATTGTATCTTTTTTTTTTGAGACGGAGTCTCACTCTGTCACCCAGGCTGGAGTGCAATGGTGTGGTCTCGGCTCACTGCAACCTCCACCTCCTGGGTTCAAGCGATTCTCCTGCCTCAGCCTCCTGAGAAGCTGGGACTACAGGTGTGTGCCACCACACCCGGCTAATTTTTGTATTTGTAGTACAGATGGAATTTCACCATGTTGGCCAGGCTGGTCTTGAACTCCTGACCTTGTGATCCACCCGCCTGTCCTCCCAAAGTGCTGGGATTATAGGCGTGAGCCACCGTGTCTGGCCTTTGTAATTGTATCTTTGTGAATGAGTGATTTGGTTCTGCCCTTTTTACTCCATATTTATACCAGCCTGGCTCTAGGAGAGTCAGAAGGCCTGCCCAAGGGTTTCTGCCCTCTCTGGGCCACTGGGCCAAAGCTGTAGCTTGCCCTCCGTGGGCTACCTGGGTCAGCCACTCCTGTGCTTAGGGCTTAATCACTAGTTCGCTGAGGCCTGAAGTTTAATCAACACCTTGAGGCTAAACAGCTCTGGTCCTTGTGATCTTCAGCCCATCCCTGCTTTTCTCTGGTCCTCCTCAGGAGCTTGTCAGGCCACGGGGGCTCCAGTGATGAGGCTGACCATCTTTCTTAAGAGGTGTTCTGGTAGCTTGTATTATGATTGGATTGCGTTGACTTCTCAAAGCCGAACTGCTGCTTACTAGTAGTACAGTAGACTCCCATTTGGCACTGGGCTGGTCTTTACCCAGGGGTCCCATAGATGGGTGTGTGGAGGGGAGAAGAGCCAGCATGCATCCTTGAGTTGTTAGTTCACCAAAGGATGTGACCCTGTGTTCCACGAGCGCTCGGTAATTCCTGGTTTGCACTGATGGCCTTTCTCTTTGGTAAAGTCAGGGCGCTGATTATCTTGTCGGAAGTATCCAGCTGGTCCTCTCTTGGGCTCCATCACTGTGCAAGTCTCTGCTCATAAGAACTCTTCAGTTCCCTTCTCCTGGGTTCACAGCCAAGGCAAAAAAGAGACTCCTTGGCCTCTTGGCAAACATACATCCCCTACCTGGCTGGTCCCCCTTCAGCTTCCCTCTCTAAGGAACAACTTGAACATAGAAACTCCAACCTCACCTGTAATCCCAGCACTCTGGGAGGCCAAGGTGGGCAGGTCATTTGAGGCCAGGAGTTCAAGACCAGCGTGGTCAACATGGCGAAACCCTGGCTCTACTAAAAATTAGCGGTGGTGGCGCATGCCTGTAATCCCAGCTACTTGGGAGGCTGAGGCACGAGAATCACTTGAACCAGGGAGGCAGAGGCTGCAGTGAGCCAGGGTCATGCCACTGCACTCCAGCTTGGGCAACAGAGAGACCCTGTCTCAAAAAAAGGAACTCCAACTTCTGAAAGTAAACAACTTATGCAGTACATGATTCCTGGAGAGGATTTGGTCACCAACCTTCCCTCCTTCCTTCCAGGGAAAGCACACAGAGGGGCAGGGCAAGGGCCTCCAGTGCATTACTTCACCACTTCCCTGAGTAGGTCTTCTCAAGTCCTTGGAGCCTTCACTTTGTGATTTGTCACTGCCAGAGAGCAATGTTGGGATCATGAGCTGTGGGTCCTCAGTCTGACTTTAAAGAAACCTCACAAATTGTCTGCTCCTGATTTTCCTGACCATGTTTCCCACCAATCCTAACAAACCTCTGCTTCCCTCTCAGTCTCAACACTCTGGTGTTAATGCATTTGAACCTGCTGTGTATCTACTTCCTGTAATTTTTTGAGAATTATCTAGAATGGCTCAAATCCCACCTTTCCCATGAAGCCTTTCTGACCACTGCACATGCTCCTTCCCCTTGCTGGGCTGTGTGCTGCATGTGTGTACAGGGGGACATCACATTTGGGTGCAGCCTGTCGTGTGGGCGTTCCTTTTGACGCCCGTGTCTTGAGAGGGCTGTGTGGTGTTAGCAGGTTAGAGGCAGATGCTAAAGAGACAGGCCTGACCATTCACTGACCTAGCTTTCCTTTCCCTGAGCTTCAGTTTCCTCACCTCTTAAAGGGAAATAAAAATAGTATGAGTTGTGTGCAGCTTAACTGAGAGGATGCCTGTGGAGTGTTCAGGGTGATGGCAGTGGTTATTACTATTAATCTTTTTCTCCCCAGCCAGACTTGATGCCTGGACTTGGCCACAGCTTGCTTGGTAAACCCATTTACTGACATATTAATTGATCCCTCTTCTCTCACCAGGTACATGGCCACCTCTGGCCTAGACCACCAGCTGAAGATCTTTGACTTGCGAGGGACGTACCAGCCTCTGAGCACTCGGACCCTGCCCCATGGAGCAGGGCACCTGGCCTTCTCCCAGAGGGGACTGCTGGTGGCGGGAATGGGTGACGTTGTCAACATCTGGGCAGGGCAGGGCAAGGCCAGCCCACCCTCCCTTGAACAGCCCTACCTCACCCACCGGCTCTCAGGCCCTGTGCATGGCCTTCAGTTCTGCCCCTTTGAAGATGTGCTGGGGGTGGGGCACACTGGGGGCATCACCAGCATGCTGGTCCCTGGTGAGTGGGCCAGGGGATGGGGCTTGAAGTGAATGAACTCTGGGTGGAAGTTTGGGCCAGAGACATCCAGGAACTGGGGGCTTAGTTGGGCTGGAGCTGTTGGACTGAGGTTCTTCCTTATGGCTCCATGCTTCTCCCTCCCTCCCTTCAGGGGCCGGTGAGCCCAACTTCGATGGCCTGGAGAGTAATCCATACAGAAGCCGGAAGCAGCGCCAGGAGTGGGAGGTGAAGGCCCTGCTAGAGAAGGTGAGGCTCCCCTGCTGGAGAGGGTGAGATTCCCCCCATTGCTGGAGAGGGTCAGGTTCCCCCGTCCTGGAGAGGGTGAGGTTCCTCCTTCCTGGAGAAGGTCAGGTTCCCCCCTGCTGGAGAAGGTCAGGTTCCCCCCTGCTGGAGAAGGTAAGGTTTCCTCTTCCTGGAGAGGGTGAGATTCCCCTCTCCTGGACGGGGTCAGGTTTCCCTCTGCTGGAGAGGGTGAGATTCCCCCTGCTGGAGAGGGTCAGGTTTCCCTCTGCTGGAGAGGGTGAAATTCCCTCTCCTGGAGAGGGTCAGGATCCCCCCTGCTGGAGAGGGTGAGATTGCCCCTGTTGGAGGTGAGGTTCCCCTGCTGCAGAGAGTGAGGCCCCTGCTGCTGGGGAAGGTGTGGTTTGGGGTTGGAGGTAGAGAAAGCTCTCCTGATGTCTCATGCTGGGGGTCTTGGGTAGAGGGGTTCAGCAGCCTCCCTGGCTTCTCTTTTTGGTGCTACCCTCCTGTGGCTCCTTGCTGAGTCCTGTCCCTCTGTGACACCCCCAGGTACCTGCAGAGCTTATTTGTCTGGACCCACGAGCCCTGGCCGAGGTGGATGTCATCTCCCTGGAGCAGGGAAAGAAGGAGCAGATAGAGAGGCTGGTATGGAGCAGGCCCCTGAATGCCCAGGCCCGTCTTCTCCCCCACATCCTCTCCCCACCATGGCTTGTCCCCAGAAGTGCGGCCAGCAGGTGGGTGCTGCCAGTTCCCTGACTCCGAGGCTGTAACAGATATCACTCCTGTCCCCTCCCTCAGGGCTATGACCCGCAGGCTAAGGCTCCCTTCCAGCCAAAGCCAAAGCAGAAGGGCCGCAGCTCCACGGCAAGCCTGGTGAAGAGGAAGAGGAAGGTCATGGATGAGGAACACAGGGTAAATGAGCATTGGCATGGGCCGGGCCTTCCACAGGCTGCACCCTCCTGCTTGTGCCTCTGCCCTTGTCAGCCTGCCACTTCTCACTCTGTGCCTGTGTCCTCCCCGTCTCCGGTCCCCAGGACAAGGTCCGGCAGAGCCTTCAGCAGCAGCATCATAAGGAGGCGAAGGCCAAGCCCACGGGGGCCCGGCCATCTGCCCTGGACAGATTTGTGCGCTGAGCCAGACTCCAGGGTTGCCTGGGAACAGTCTCTCCCCAAGATCACCTGTAGGGAAATGAGTGTTCCCTGGAACAAGGAGGTGGGGGCAGTGTGGCCCCTTCCCCAACTGGGGGTGGACAGCTGTCTCCTGGGGTGGGTTGGTATTAAAGAGGAAAGCGATTTTTTGGATAATGTGTCTGGATCATCTTGTGGACCTGTTCCCCTCCCCCTTGCCAAGCATGAGGCCATTCTAGGATCGGAGGGGTCAGTGTCCTGCCTCTACCCCCACCCCATACCTTGTGGCTGCTGTGGCCTTAGCTTTGCCTTTTAGGGGCCTTCCTCCTCAGAGAGGCTGTCCTCTCTCCCATGTCCCTGGAGATGTCCTTCCCATGCAGCAGGGTCTGGCAGCCTCTGGGCTCTCCAGGTTTGTGGTGTTCTGGGGGTCCTGGTGAAGACCACACTGCACTCGAAGAAGTGGAGACAAGTTTATTGAGGAGCTTGACACCCCTCTTCTGCCCTAGCTTGAGAGAACAACTGCAGCATTTTTTTCTTTTTCTCTTCCCGATGACCATCTTTTGGGCTGGCGGGCCAGGCCCCTGGGTGTCTCCCATATCGCTGTCTTTAGTGAGACTGAGGATCTGGTATAAGGAAACAGATCAGCTGCAGCCAGTGAGGGCCCCTGCGTTGGGCCTGGGAGAGAGAAGGTCCTGTTCCTGCCTTTCCTGTGGCCCCAGGCACTCTCAGCTCTGAAGCCAGGCTATTGCTCGACACCGCAGGATGCCCAGGACTCCCTGGAACCAGGAGCAAAAGGGCGCAGTCCTTTCCCCGTCAGAGCCACCCACCAGCTTCCAGGCTTCCTGCATCTTCCAGGGGTCCAGCCTGTGGGACGTCAGCAGGAATTTCCCATAGCAGCACCGGTCTAGCGGGTAGTGGGTGGCACCAGCCAGCTTGACACACTGTGTTGGGGCGAGGCCTCCTCGTCGGGCACTTACCCCCACAAAGACATCCTCTAATGGGAGAAGGGGTGCCCGGCTGGCCACCTTGAGAATGAGCTGCACAGCAGACGCTGACAGCACATACCCCGTGCCTGAGGCATAGGGTGGAAAGGGGCCCCAGGTGTGAGGCCACTGCTCCTCTGATACGCGGTGCCTGCCCCCCGGTGTCCGAGAGGGGTTCACGCGCCAGTGCACCCGGCCCAAGTACAGAAGAGGCACTTCCTCGCTGTGCAAAACCTGGCCTCCTTCCTGCTCAGCCTCTCTCTGGGGTTCCGTGCTTCTCTCCCATTGCCCCCAACGGCCCCCTCGCAAGACCAGCTCTGATACCAGTTCAGGGACGTTGACATACACATCATCGTCCGTCTTGAGGACGTATCGGGCCATGGGGCAGTGTTTCTCAGCCCAGTTCAGCCCGCTGAGGGTCTTTAGGGTGAGGTTGCGGTAGGAGTCCTGGAAGGCGGCCTGCAAGATATCCCCCTGGGCTGCTGACTCCGAGGCCAGGTCACTCCCCTGGGAACCCCACACGGGGTGCTGTGCGTTCGGCTCTCCCAGCAAGAATAGCGTCTGTACCCTGAGCCCCCGGGCCTCGCGCAGCCCGCCCCACGAAGCCCGAATGGCGTTTCTCTGGTTCAGGTTCTCCGGAGCCGTGCACACCAGGATGAGCAGGAAGGGAGGGGCCCCGGGACCACTGCAAGCTTCCTGGTTGGGGATCAAGAGGCGGGGCAGGGCCAGGGGCGGCCCCGGTGAGGCGGGGGCTGGGAGCAGGGAGGCTAGTGAGAGGCTCAGCAGCTCCTCCCCCAACCCCGAAGGCCCGAAGAGGGTCCAGACGATCACCAGCAGCAAAGCGGCGAGAAGGAGGCGCCGGAAGAGCCTGAGCTGCATGGTGCGGCGTACTCCGAGGGGATCCGTAAGAGCGAAGGGCGGAGACTAGCTCCCCGGGCCTGGGTCACGGCCGGGGACTTAACCGACCACGCCCGGGATGCGGAGGTCTGAGCGCGCGACCGGGACCAGCGCACCCTGGGGGGCGGGGAGAGGCGGTGCAGCTGCGGACCGCGGTCGAGGCATGCTGCGGGGGTGGCTACCTTGTCGCCGCGGCCTCGCCGCCAGCAAGCTCCGCTCCATGGCTGGCCGACTGCGGCACTCACGGCCCCTCCCCCGCCTCGCCCCGGCGGCCGGTCTGCCGCCCGCTTCCGCGTTGCGCGCTCCCATCCCCGCCGGAAGCGGCGTCGGAGCAGCGCGGCAGGGCGCGGAAACCCGGGCGGGTGGAGTGGCACCAAACGGAGTGAGACCGGTCTGTCCAGCCGCTCCCCATCCCAACCCACCGACGTACTCCACCAGGGAGACCACACCCTTCATAACCAACGTCCGCGTTTTTGCCTTTGTTGCTTCGGTCACAGCCCGAAGGATTTTCCCTTATGACTAGATGACCCCTTAAAAAAAAACAAAAACAAAAACAAAAAAACCCAGAGTGACCAAGACCTGCAAACTCACCTTAACTGCAACTGGCTAGGCTCAGCTAACCCACTCCACAATGATGCTGCACACCAACCCCAGGGTGTTGGTCTCTAAACTGGTCTGGGTCAGCCCCTCAAGGCTGAACTGTTTTACCCTCACATTTCTCTTTACAGAGAGGGACATCACTAGCTACATATAGGGAGACTGGGGGGTCTGCAGCATCACCACTGCTAAAACTAATAGCACTGTGTGGGCAACTGAGTAGGGCAGCTCTAAATGGAAAAAGGACCCAGCACTTTAACATTCCCTATTAGAATGGACAGAAAGGACAGGAAGCCATAGGTATATAAACTATTTATTAACAGACAAGGCCTACAGACTTATTTCTTCTTGGACACACCCACGGTGCGGCCACGGCGGCCAGTGGTCTTGGTGTGCTGGCCTCGGACACGAAGGCTGCAGGTAAAAAGAGAAGAGTCACAGGTCATGCACAGCAGAAACAAAAGGTTGGGGAAAAAGAAGAGCGAGTAGGAGGAATGCTGAGTCGAGGTAGGCAGGGAGATGAGACCCCCCACTCACCCCCAGAAGTGACGCAGCCCTCTATGGGCCCGAATCTTCTTCAGTCGCTCCAGGTCTTCACGGAGCTTGTTGTCCAGACCATTGGCTAGGACCTGGATTCAGAGGAGGGGGCAAGGGATGTTTTATCCCCTGACCTCCTATGCCCAATTCTGTTAGGACCCTCCACCCTTCCTCTAATCCTGCCCTCATTTCAGTACACACCTGGCTGTATTTTCCATCCTTTACATCCTTCTGTCTGTTCAAGAACCAGTCTGGGATCTTGTACTGGCGTGGATTCTGCATAATGGTGATCACACGTTCCACCTGGCAGGCAGACCAAGGTCAGATCTAGATGGACCCCTTTCTGAGGCTGACCCCACCCCCAGCCCCCTTCCTTGTCCTCACCTCATCCTCAGTGAGTTCTCCCGCCCTCTTGGTGAGGTCAATGTCTGCTTTCCTCAACACCACATGAGCATATCTTCGGCCCACACCCTGAATGAAGTGAGGGGTTTCGGAATTAGTGTTGAATCTGATTTTTAAATTCCTTTATAGCCTCATTCAAAAAGCTCACAAAGGTAGGATCTGCAATAATCTATTTTGCAATCCCCTAGGTCACCCTTTCCTCACCCACCTTTCCAGATATAAACCGTTCGACAGAAGGTTAACTTTGGGCCGGTCGCAGTGGCTCACGCCTGTAATCCCAGCACTTTGGGAGGCCCAAGTGGGCAGATGACATTGAGGGCAGGAGTTCAAAACCAGCCTGGCCAACATGGTGAAACCCTGTCTCTACTAAAAATACAAGAAAAGTTGCTGAGCATGGTGGCAGGTGCCTGTAATCCCAGCTACTTGGGAGGCTGCAGCAGAATAGCTTGAACCTAGGAGGTGGAGGTTGCAGCAAGCCAAGATCACGCAACCACACTCTAACCTGGGCGACAGTGAGACCCCGTCTCAAAAAAAGAAAAAAGTAACTTTGTTCAGGGGTATGACTGAATCATGAACACAGAATTTAGTATTACAGACAACCCTTTGAAAGCAGGCAGTATCTTTTTTTTCCCCCATTGCTCAGCATATGTAGTTGTCACTAAGTGCCTTCTGATTCTTGCATTTAGGAGAACAAGGGGCCTGCCACTCCAAGCTGATGCAGTAAACCAGGGTCTTATGAGTTACAGGCTTTGATTAAGGTATTGGGCTGTCAGTTCCTCAGAATCTCTAAGGGTCACAATTATTTAGGCAAATCACTGTATCCCCATAATCAAAGTATTCCAAGATCACAAACTCAATTTTGTCAGTGCCCAGAACTGACTGCCCAAGTTATTATAAAAAGAAACTAATGCTTACATTGGTAGCATCACATCAACACCAGCACTAGCACCCATGCCATCTGAACTCATGAACCAAAGTGATTTGGAGAGTGAAGGAGGAACTGAATACTGAGCCCTGCCCCTCATTTTGTCCAACTAGAACATCAGAATGTGGCCCTATTTGGAAATAAGGTCGTTACGGAAATAATTAGGTAAAATGACGTTATATTTGATTAGGGTGGGCTCTAGATCCAATGACAAATCATGAGAGAGACACGAAGAGGACCATGAGATGACAGCAACAGATTGGAGTAATGCAGCTACAAGCCAAGGAACACTAAGGATTACTGACAACCACCAGAAGACAGGAAGAGGCAAGGTAGGATTCTTAAGTGCCTCCAGCGCCAAGAGTAATTTTCTGCTTAGTTTATATGAACTTGTTACAGTAGGCTCCAGGAAACTAAAACAAATGGCAGTTCCTATCTGCAAGAAAGAGATCAAGGGTTGGCTTCACCGTGGCTCATGCCTATATGCCTGTAATCCCAGCACTTTAGGAGGCTGAGGCTGGAGGATCACTGAGCCCAGGAGTTCAAGACCAGCCTGGACAACACAGCAAGATCCAGATTAGCCAGATGTGGTGGTGCACACCTGTAGCCCCAACTACTTGGAAAGTTGAGGTAGGAGGATTGACTTGAGCCCTGGAGGTCGAGGCTGCAGTGAAGAGTGATTCCGCCACTCCAGCCTGGGCGACAGTCTCAAAAAATAAATGTGGCTGGGTGCAGTGGCTCACGCCTATAATCCCAGCACTTTGGGAGGCTGAGGTGGGTGGATCACCTGAGGTCAGAAGTTTAAGACCAGTTTGACCAACATGGTGAAACCCCATCTCTTCTAAAAATACAAAAATTAGCTGGGCGTGTGCCTGTAATCTCAGCTACTTGGGAGGCTGAGGTTGCAGTGAGATAAGATTGCACCATTGCACTCCGGCCTGGGTGACGGGGTGAGACTCTGTCTCGGGATAAATAAATAAACATGACCAAGGGTCAAATTATTAGGTTGATTCAGAAGAGAGCAGGGTCTTTCAAATTTATTTATTAATTAAATGACGAGGTTTCACCATGTTGACCAGGCTGGTCTCGAACTCCTGACCTCAGGGGATCCGCCCACTTCAGCCTCCGAGTGAGCCACTGCACTAAGCCTCAAATTTAATTATATGTTTACAAGTGAAAAGATTTACTTCAAAATGGGTGTGGGAAGAGATATAGATGAAATAAGATTTCTAATTTTTAGTTAGATACATCCATGAAGGTTATTCTCTATTACACTTATGAATGCTGCACCTCTACTTAAGCCTCACAGCCGGTCTCTGAAATAAGTACAGTATTTCACACTGCCTTATTAGTTTCACAGAGCACCCAACAGAAGGAATTTCCCTCTACAAATTCCTCAACAGAGCCAACAGTATCCCTACTACTATCCATTCCCTAACGTCGCCTAAGTACCTACCATGCAACAGAAGCCAAGAAGACAGGCCTAGCCCTGCACGCATGGACACATACTGGTAGGCTATTTCCACAACTAACTACACATTCTGACTTAAGGAAAAAAAAAAGAACGTTATGTATCTACAAAGCCAGGAATTCATTAGGTTTGTGGAGAGAAATACTCAAGTGAAATAATATTCTTGCATTCATTTATTCGATTCTTAAAAGCCAAAGAAAGATGGATGTACTCCTTCACACTTCGACAGGAAAGGAGTGTCAATTATGGCTCATCTGAGTAAATGTCCCACTCAGACTTCTTCCACCCTCCATCTACAGGCTTCTTCACACTTTTTATCTGTTGGTATTTCTACTTATCCCTCAAGATGCCCAATAATCCTCCAATTCTCAGGGAATATAAATTTCGCAGGAAGGGTTGCTGTTATGATGGTGGGATGGGTAAAGAAACCGAATCTAGAAGAAATCTCACAAGCTCGTGGTTCAGGAAAATCTTAGCGAATTCGGGTGAGCAACCATACCTCCTCCCCACTTCCCCAGGTGAAATGTTTTGGCTTGACCTTAGACCACTATCTTGGCTTTAATCACTTATTTTCTGTGGTAAATGCTAAAGGGGTCAGTCTCTCCCTAAACCACTTTCTTTTCTTAATCCAGCAGTCAAGGTGATCTGGATGAGACTCAAGTCTCCCCAGCCTTGCTTCATTTTTGCTTATGTCTTCACAACCCAATTCTCATTTACATTCCCTATTCCTTACCCTACTTCACTTACCTTAATGGCAGTGATGGCAAAGGCTATTTTCCGCCGCCCATCGATGTTGGTGTTGAGTACTCGCAAAATATGCTGGAACTTTTCAGGGATCACTAGAGACTAGTTGAAAAAGTACGGGGGAAGAAATCAGACACAGTAAACTATCAAACAGTAAGGCCGATAAGGCAAACGAACTTCATACAAAAAGGTTAAGCCTGTCACACAAGTGGCAAGACACCCGCCCCCCATTCCTTAGGTTTTCACACCACAGAGCAAACTCCTCAGTCCTGCAGAGTAGGCACATGAAGCGTTCAAGCTTGGGAAAATGCAACCTCTGGAGAGAGGAAGCAGGTCTCCTGCCCATTCCCAAAAGTGCGTGGCAAAAGCCAGAGTTCCCCATATACGCCCAAGCCTTAGACAGCTTTCGTGCGCCCGAGCAGTGACCCTTCCTCGGGCCCGCTCTCCGGAATTGGAAATCTTTGGTGTCCCTTTCCAGGGACGCGATCCAAGGCTCCATACAGAAAGTCGCAGGCCCTCAGGGCAGGACGTTTCCAGAACCCTGACAGCCGGCTTTCCTTGCCCGAGCTGCGATGCCGCTGGATCACGGCACGGATTCCAGTCTTACCATGGCTGCAGCACAAGCGGCGGCGTGTAGGCCTCCTGTGGAAGAGAGAGCGGAAGTGACGCGATATCATTATATAGCTTCCAGGAGGAAGAGGCGGTGCGATCTAGGAGAAGTGCTTCCGGAAACTGTTTCAGCGCGACCTGGCTGGATTTATGAGAGTATGGCTTGGGTACCACAACTTCCGGTGCGCCTTTCTTTACAGTTCGTAAGGTTCATAGGTAAGAGAACAGCGAAGGTTCCGGGGCTAGTTTGTGTTTCAGACTTCCATATTTCCATTTGCAGTTGGGTGAAGTGGTTAGAGCTGAAAGGGGACAGCTGGAGTCAAACAACTTAACTCAAATATCTGGGAACGATTTCGCGCTGAGGAAGACCCTTTGGGACTTGTAGCTCCACTCCGGGGAACGGACTCGCCGGGACTGACAGTTGCCGGAAGTGAGGCTGCGGGGAATGGCCGCCGCTGCGACCATGGCGGCTGCGGCCCGGGAACTGGTGTTGCGGGCTGGGACCTCAGATATGGAGGAGGAAGAGGGCCCGCTGGTGAGAGCGCGGAGCTGTTTCTCCTCCGTAGTTCCGGTGCTCCTAGCTTCAGAAAGACCTGAGCTGGGTTTAGGCACAAGGGTGGGAACTTGGCTGCTACCCGTGATATTACCTGTTTGGCTCCCCGTACCCTTCCCTGTGATCAGACCCGACCCTGAGCGGGACCCTAGTGGCTGAAACTCATGTTCTGGGGCACAAAATTTCAACTTCACTCCACATTTTGGGGTAGAGTCACGAAGTAGTATAGTGTAAAGGTTAAGAACATGGCCTCTGAAGCCAGACTGCCTGAGTTCTATCTCTGCCACTTACACGCTGTGTGCCCTTGGGCAAGTTAACCAGCTTCTCTGTGCCATCATTTCTCACACCTTTAAGGTGAGGAAGATAGAACCTATTGTATACATCGTCGTTAGGATTAGATGAATATGTGTAAGATTGCACCTGGCATGCAGGTAAACACTATGTGTTTTGACATTTCTAGAAAGCCTGGGGTTCCCCAGAGGTGTGATAGAACACCCAAGATGGCAGGAGTCTGAGGGTCTTAAATTTAAGTGCAAGTTCTGCTCTATCCTCTGCAATTCCTAGCTTTCCTCATTCGGTCATCTCCACTGCACTTTTTTTTTTTTTTTTTTTTTGAGACGGAGTCTTGCTCTGTCGCCCAGGCTGGAGTGCAGTGGCGCGATCTTGGCTCACTGCAAGCTCCACCTTCCGGGTTCACGCCATTCTCCTGCCTCAACCTCCCAAGTAGCTGGGACTACAGGCGCCCGCCACCGCGCCCGGCTAATTTTTTGTATTTTTTAGTAGAGACGGGGTTTCACTGTGTTAGCCAGGATGGTCTCGATCTCCTGACCTCGTGATCTTCCCACCTCGGCCTCCCAAAGTGCTGGGATTACAGGCGTGAGCCACTGCGTCCGGCCTCCACTGCACTGTCTTGTCTTTTACCTTTTTTTGTTTTCTTGAGACGGGTTTCCCTGTGTTACCCAGGTTGACCTTGAACTCCTGATCTCCTCAAACAATCTTCCCGTCTCAGCTTCTAAGTAGTTGGGACTACAAGGAGCCCACCACCATGCTGGGCTACCTCCACTGTCTCACTGGATCGTCTCACTCCTTGTCGTATTCCTTACCCATCAGCACAAAATAGGAGAGTGGGTACAACGTGAGACTCTTAGAATTTTTCAAAGCAGTACCTGTGGCTCCCAGTAAAAGCAGCTCCTTCTCACTTGAAGGACTGGGGATATCCAATTATATTTTTTCTTTCTGTCTTTCACCGTACCCTACTCCCATTAACTTATCCCTTTCCAGGCGGGTGGTCCTGGGCTCCAGGAACCACTGCAACTTGGGGAGTTGGATATCACTTCTGATGAATTCATCCTGGATGAAGTGGATGGTAAGCGATGGCATGGGGTGGGTGCAGTACCTGTAATCTGAGAGGCATGGGGGCTGGAAGGAATAAGGTAGGGATTGGTGTGCAGATACTCAATGTGGGGAGAGGGAGCTGTGGAGCTGGACCCTTATGATAAACTTCTATTTCCAGTTCACATTCAGGCAAATCTGGAGGATGAGTTAGTAAAGGAAGCTCTTAAAACGGTGAGGCTTTCCCCTGTACTAATCTGCCCTTCTATCTATTCTACCCCAAAAGGAAAAACAACAGTCTCTTGCTTTTGTTGTATCAGCCTGGTATCTGACCCTTTAGTCCTTCACTGATTCTGTTACAGTGTCCCTTTACTGAGACTTCCTTCTGACCTGTCATCTTTATGTTCTCCCAGGGTGTAGATCTCCGTCACTATTCAAAGCAAGTTGAGCTGGAGCTACAGCAGATTGAACAGAAATCCATTCGGGATTGTATCCTCCAGCAGAGGGAAGGGGTGGTGCTATTGACATGGGGATTTTGTGGCGTGTGGTACAGATGTCCCAGCTGGGGTCAACATCTCTGAGGTTTCTATCACTTCAAAGAGAAATTGGAGAGGTACTACAAATCTGAGGATCTCCCATCTTCACCATGAGGCCCCTTGACTTTTTGTGGATCAGATATTCAAGAGAGTGAGAATATAGCATCTCTACACAACCAGATCACAGCCTGTGATGCTGTCCTGGAGGTTAGTAATCATGACCTGTGACCCCTAATAGCTACTCTGAACCAGATCATGGACTCTGGTGCCATTTTTAGGTCATCAGCCTCAAGATGGGGACAGGTTAGGGTCATTTTCAAGATGACTTCAGGAGCCTTTTTTGTTATTACTGCCATATTTAATGTTATTTCCTGATAATCTGGGGTGTCTCATCATCTGCCACCCTCAAGGACTGATAAATACTGAAGACTTCACAAAGAGTCTTTGGTGGCCCACTTATCCCCTACAAACCCTATAGCACTCCGGCAACATCTACCCTCCCTACAGCGAATGGAGCAGATGTTGGGAGCTTTTCAGAGTGACCTCAGCTCCATCAGCTCTGAGATCCGGACACTGCAGGAACAGTCAGGAGCCATGAACATTCGACTTCGAAATCGCCAGGCAGTTCGGGGGAAACTTGGGGAGCTTGTTGATGGTCTGGTGGTGCCTTCTGCTCTGGTCACGTGAGTTACCAGTTTGAAGGGTTATAATGTCCATAGCAGGTGGATGGGCTGGGGTGACCCACCCTATTTACCATATGGGTCTCCTGGCTCCAGGTTAAGTGCTTTTTAGAAATTAGTAGCCAGGTTAACCACCATTTCTTTAGGTATGCATTAGGCATCAAAGATTAAGATTAAGAATGATGTAAGATCAGGTGTATAGTGGGGAGGTCCAGGAATAGAAAACTTTGTACATGTGTCCTGACTATATGGTACAATGCAAGGTGGTAGAGATGACAGGGGCTGGAGGTAAGGAGTGTGGTCTGGGTCTGGTTTAGGGATGTCTGGGTCTCCCTTGTAACTCATCCCACCCCTCCCTGCTAACCAGGGCAATTCTGGAGGCTCCAGTGACAGAGCCCAGGTTCTTGGAGCAGCTACAGGAGCTGGATGCCAAGGCAGCCGCAGTCAGAGAGCAGGAAGCTAGAGGCACAGCAGCCTGCGCAGATGTCAGAGGCGTGCTCGATCGGCTCCGGGTCAAGGTGGGAAGTAGGGATGGATACCCTGGAGGCTACTGGAAGCAGCCTTCCCAAGATCTTCACTATGGATTTCCTTGGCAGAGCTCACTGTAGCCTGTCTCCAGGGACTTCACCCTGCCTTTTCTGGGCAGCCCCATTCTTGTCTCTCTGGGTTTCCCTGAAAATCTTGAGAAATACCAAAGAGATATTCACCACCCTTCTGCCTATGTTTACCATTTGTTGCTTCCCCCAGTTCCTCTCATACAGCAAAAGGGTTGCAGCTTCATGCCCTGTGTTTGGTTCCCCACATCTAGGCAGTGACGAAGATCCGAGAGTTTATCCTCCAGAAGATTTATTCCTTCAGGAAACCCATGACCAACTATCAGATCCCCCAGACGGCCCTGCTGAAGTACAGGTCACAACCCCAAGGAAGTGCATGGGATGGCCTTTGAGTTTTTGAGCGGCCTAGTGTGGGCATCTGGTTTCTTGGGAGACAGGTAGACTGACATGTTCCTGACCCCCTAGGTTCTTCTATCAGTTTCTGTTGGGCAATGAACGAGCAACAGCAAAGGAGATCAGGGATGAATATGTGGAGACGCTGAGCAAGATTTACCTGTCTTACTACCGCTCTTACCTGGGGCGGCTCATGAAGGTGCAGGTAAGGTCAGGAGGGAGAGGTATTCCTGGGCACATGGACTGGGAGGAGGGGACATCCCTGGGCAAGGAATATTTTATTGTGTTGTGGGAAGAGACGGTTATCAGTTCTCTTTTCTCTTTCCTTAGTATGAGGAAGTCGCTGAGAAAGATGATCTAATGGGTGTGGAAGATACAGCAAAGAAAGATATCCTAGTACTGGGGAACCCTCATGCCAGGCCTTGAGAGTGGGAGGACTTTCGACTCCAGCCACCAATGCACTGCTCCTTACCTTTTCCTATGGGACTGAAACCTTTTAGAATGTGATGAAAGCTATAGCCTCCCTCCCCAGAAAGATGCACACATTATTTTGACACATAGTTTTGCATATGATTGCAAGGGAGGGAGAGACACCCTGAAGCCCATTCACAGATGTCAGCACGTGGGGCCCTAGTACTGGGAAAGAGGGCTGGCTAGGCCACGTCTGCCTGTCTGGGGTCCCCACAGATAGTGAGTCTTTGGGCCCAGTTATGGTCTCATTGTTTTCCCTGACTCTGACCCATCTTACGATTCTTCTCAAAGCCATCGCTCCGCAGCAGGAACACCATTTTCACCCTAGGAACCCGCGGCTCTGTCATCTCCCCCACTGAACTTGAGGCCCCCATCCTGGTGCCTCACACAGCGCAGCGCGGAGAGCAGAGGGTATGAGGAGGAACAAGCTTCAGTCACGAAAGAGGCTCTGAGCACGGTGGGGAGGGAAGGCCAGACCTCAGGGCAGAGCTTCCCAACCTGCAGGCCCTGTCTTAATCCCCTTAGACTTGGGAGTGGCCTTCTCCAATCACTCCAGCCTGCTGTGATGTGAAAAGAGCTGGGAACCATTGACTTAAGGGCATGCAGAGGGGAGAGACTGGATGAGGGGAATGACAGTCAGAGGCAGGTGTTGAGGTGGATGCAGGAGTAGCAACAGCAGGTGGGTGTAGGCCCTTTTTGTACCCCTATGTTCCCCCACCTTTTCAGTGCCCATTCAGCTTGCTCTTAGACAGCCCGGACCTAGATAGATGCGAAGGGTCTGCCTAGCTCTTATTACTCAGGTTTACTGATTTTCCAGCCATATCCATGGGAAGTCAGTGTTGGGGTCCATCCCTTCTGTTTTTCTTCTTTACTCCTCCTCTCCCAGTATCCATTTGAGGCCCTCTTCCGCAGCCAGCACTACGCCCTCCTAGACAATTCCTGCCGCGAATACCTTTTCATCTGTGAATTTTTTGTTGTGTCTGGCCCAGCTGCACACGACCTGTTCCATGCTGTCATGGGCCGTACACTCAGCATGACCCTGGTAAGACTCCTGTTTCCTGTACCATTCAACACCTTTGTCCCCAGTCTTCATCAGCAGCATAGTGGGGTCATGACTCTGGTAGAACTGAAATCAGGATCGCCTCATTCTAAAATGTCTAAGCCTTGGCTGGGCGTGGTAGTGCACACCCATAATCCCAGCACTTTGGGAGTCCAAGGCAGTAGGATTGCCTGAGCTCAGGAGTTTGAGACCAGCCTGGGCAACAACCTCATCTCTACAAAAAATGAAAAATTAGCCGGGTGTGTGTTGATGTGTGCCTGTGGTCACAGCTACTAAAGATGCTGAGGTGGAAGGATTGCTTGAGCCCAGGAGGTCAAGGCTGCAGTGAGCCATGCACTCCAGAGTGAGACCTGTCTCAAAAAAAAAAAAAAAAAAAAATAGCCAGGTGCAGTGGCTTACGCCTGTAATCCCAGCACTTTGGGAGGCTGAGGCGGGAGGATCACAAGGTCAGGAGTTTGAGACCAGCCTGACCAACATGATGAAACCCTGTCTCTACTAACAGTACAAAAATTAGCCAGGTGTGCGCGGCCTGTAATCCCAGCTACTCGGGAGGCTGAGGCAGGAGGATTGCTTGAACCTGGGAGGAGGAGATTGCAGTGAGCCAAGATTGCGCCATTGCACTCCAGCCTGGGTGACAGAGCGAGACTCCATCTCAAAAAAAAAACTTGTTACTTAGACTTGTCAGTGTTACTCCCCCATGAAATCCTCAGTGCGTAGGGTCCCTGAGACTACCCCTACTGCTGACCCACAATCAGGCAATAGCACGTGAAAACTGAGGGTCCCCCAAATCTTGGTGCTCAAACCCCTGACCCAAGCTCAGCCCTGAACTCTGCTGTGATAGGCTTGTGATCATAGATCCTGGTGTGGCCAGGTGCAGTGGCTTATGCCTGCAATCCCAGTACTTTGGGAGACCAAGGCAGGAAGATTGCTTGAGGCCAGGAGTTCGAGACCAGCCTGGGCAATGCGGCAAGACCTTGTCTCTACAAAAAATTTAAAAATAAACTTAACCAGGCATGGTGGTACACACCCATGGTCCCAGTTGCTTGGCAGGCTGAGGTGGGAACATCACTTGAGCCCAGATGTTTGAGGCTGCAGTGAACTATGATTGTACCATTACAATCCAGCCTAGGTGACAAAACAACCTGTCTCTAAAGCCGAAAACACCGGGTGCAGTGGCTCACACCTGTAATCCCAGCACTTTAGGAGGCTGAGGTGGGCGGATCGCCTGAGGTCAGGAGTTCGAGACCAGCTTGACCAACATGATGAAACCCCATCTCTACTAAAATACAAAAATTAGTCGGGCGTGGTGGCAGGCGCCTATAATTCCAGCTACTCAGGAGGCTGAGGCAGGAGAATTGCTTGAACCTGGGAGGCAGGCGGAGGTTGCAGTGAGCCGAGATTGTGCCACTGCATTCCAGCTTGGGTGGCAAGAGTGAAACTCTATCTCAAAAAACAAAAAAAAAGCCAAAAACATAGATCCTGGACAGGAAAGCAGGGGGCAGTTCCATTTTACGTCTCTCCCTTCTGTCCTGTCCAGTGCATCATCCCCAAAGAAACAAATGCGTTTGTTCATAGTCACTGAGGACAACAAACTGACATTCTCTTTTAATCCTCTGTTTGTTCCCCAATCACACAGAAACACCTGGATTCTTATCTAGCTGACTGCTACGATGCCATTGCTGTTTTTCTCTGTATCCACATTGTTCTCCGGTTCCGTAACATTGCAGCAAAGAGGGATGTTCCTGCCCTGGACAGGTCACTGAATTCTGGTCCTTGATGCCCAACAGGCCACAAACTCTCTTGGTCTTGCATGACTCTGCCCTGACCTTAGACTCCTACTGACCTGGTATCATCAACCTTTATTCCCATTCATTTGCTCCGGAGGCAGTAGTGCTGCTTTTTGACTCACCTTTCTCCAACCACTGCCCCCCAACCCCCACAACTAGCTATTGACCATTAAACTGAATGATGCCCCACTCCCTCCCATCCCCCTCCAACATTCCTTGCTGGCTGACCTCTGATTCTGATTAAGCCCACAGGTACTGGGAACAGGTGCTTGCCTTGCTATGGCCACGGTTTGAACTGATCCTGGAGATGAATGTTCAGAGCGTCCGAAGCACTGACCCCCAGCGCCTAGGGGGGTTGGATACTCGGCCCCACTATGTGAGGGAGGGCAAGGGTAACAAAGGGTTCTTGAAAGGCAGGGCTCTAAGCATCATTGTGGGGGTTGGCCAAGGTCACAGTTGTGTCATGGGCCATGCTATGAGCAGGTGTTCTGGGAGGGTGGTGAAACTCATGGTGAGTGGTGCACTGTGGGTAGGAGGGACTGAAGGTAGAGTCACATCACATGGAGGTGGGTTGGCTAAGGAAGTTGGGAGGTTGTGTTGGTTGGGCCAGGAGGTGGGTGTGATTTTCCTTCCCACTCTCTCCTAGATCACACGCCGCTATGCAGAGTTCTCCTCCGCTCTTGTCAGTATCAACCAGACAATTCCTAATGAACGGACCATGCAATTGCTGGGACAGCTGCAGGTGAGGGTCGGACAGGAGACACTTCCCAGCAGCAGGGCTGCTTCCAGTGGGTGGAGTCTGAGGAGGAGCCAGATGGGGCCCAGATGACCTTGCTTTCTGGTGTCACCTCTTCCTCTCTGCCTTTTCAGGTGGAGGTGGAGAATTTTGTCCTCCGAGTGGCAGCTGAGTTCTCCTCAAGGAAGGAGCAGCTTGTGTTTCTGATCAACAACTATGACATGATGCTGGGTGTGCTGATGGTAATAGGTGCTCCTTCTCCTTGCCTTCCTACCCAGAAAATTCGGTTTCCCCCACTGCTGTTAGCTCTGTGAGGGCAGAGATGATGCCTGTCTTGTTCAGTGTTTTACTCTTGGAGTCTGGCACAGTGTCCAGCTTAGTACAATAAGTGTGGAATGAAGGGGACATCCTGAAGTGAAGGACTGCTTTCCCCAAACTAGACATTTCCCTTTGTCTTCCCTTAGGAGCGGGCTGCAGATGACAGCAAAGAGGTTGAGAGCTTCCAGCAGCTGCTCAATGCTCGGACACAGGTAGGGGTGTGGGGAAAAGGGAAGAGACAGCCTTCTGTGCTGTTTTCAGCTCTCTCTCTCTCTCTCTCTCTGTGTGTGTGTGTGTGTGTGTGTGTGTGTGTGTGTGTGTGTGTGTGTGTAGGGAGTGGCATAATGGATCTCAGGTATGCGGAATTACTGTAACTCTTGATTCACAACATACTGTCATTATTGGTCTATTTTATTTTATTTTGTCTTTGGTTTTTTTTTTTTTTTTTTTTTGAGGCAAAGTGTCACTCTGTCACCCAGGCTGGAGTGCAGTGGCATGAACATGGCTCACTGCAGCCTCAACAGCCTGGGCTTAAGTGATCCTTCTACCTTAGCCCCCTGGGTAGCTGGGACCACAGGTGCGAGCCACCATGCCTAGCTAATTTTTTATTTTTAGAATGAATTTTATTTTTTTCTTTATCTATCCTCTCAAGCATTTATCCTTTGTGTTATAAACAATCCGATTACACTAAGTTATTTTAAAATGTACAATTAAGTTATAATTGACTATAGTCACCCTGTTGTGCTGTCAAATAGTAGGTCTTATTTATTCTTCCTATTTTTGTTTGTACCCATTAATCATCCCCACCTTCTCCCCAGCCTTCCACTAGCCTTCCCAGCCTCTGGTAGCCATCCTTCTACTCTCTTCGTACATGAGTACATGAGTTCAATTGTTTTGATTTTTAGATTCCACGAATCAGTGAGAACACATGACGTTTGTCTTTCTGTGCCTGGCTTATTTCACTTAATATAATAATTTCCAATTCTATGCATGTTGTTGCAAATGACTGAGTCTCATTCTTTTTTATGGCTGAGTAGTACTCCATTGTGTATATATCCCACATTTTCTTTACCCATTCATCTGTTGATGGACACTTAGGTTGCTTCCAAATCTTAGCTATTGTGAACAATACTGCAACAAACATGGGAGTGCAAATATCTCTTCAATGTACTGATTTCCTTTCTTTTGGGTATATACCCAGCAGTGGGATTGCTGAATCATATGGTAGCTCTACTTTTAGTTTTTTGAGCAACCTTCAAACTGTTCTCCAAAGTGTTTGTACTAATCTACATTCCCACCAACAGTGTATAAGGGTTCCCTTTTCTCCACATCCTTGCCAGCATTGCTATTGCCTGTCTTTTGGATAAAAGCCATTCTGACTGGAGTGAGATGAGATCTCATTGTAGTTTTGATTTGTATTTCTCTGATAATAGTGATGGTGAGCCCCTTTTCATATATGTCTGTTTGCCATTTGTATTCTTTTGAAAAATATCTATTCAAATCTTTTGCCCATTTTTTAATGGGATTATTAGACTGTCATGTAGAGTTGTTTGAGCCCCTTATATATTCTGGTTATTAATCCCTTGGCAGATGGGATGTGCAAATATTCTTTGTCTCTTCACTTTATTGTTTCTTTAGCTGTGCAGAAGCTTTTTTTTTTTTTTTTTTTTTTTTTTTGAGATGGAGTTTTGTTCTTGTTGTCCAGGCTGGAGTGCGATGGTGCGATCTCAGCTCACCGCAACCTCCGCCTCCCAGGTTCAAGCAATTTTCCTGCCTCAGCCTCCTGAGTAGCTGTGATTACAGGCATGTGCCACCATGCCTGGCTAATTTTGTATTTTTAGTAGAGATGGGGTTTCACCATGTTGGTCAGGCTGGTCTCAAACTCCTGACCTCAGGTGATCTGCCCAGCTCTGTCTCCCAAAGTGCTGGGATTACAGGCGTGAGCCACCGTGCCCAGCTGTGCAGAAGCTTTGTAACTTGACGTGATCCCATTTGGCCATTTTTGCTTTGGTTGCCTGTGCTTGTGGGGTATGGCTCAAGAAATTTTTGCCCAGACCCGTGTCTTGGAGATTTTCCCCAGTGTTTTCTTGTAGTAGTTTCATAATTTGGTCTTAGATTTAAGTCTTTAATCCATTTGATTTGGTTTTCATATGTGGCGAGAGATAGGGGTATAGTTTCATTCTTCTGTGTAATGGATAGCCAGTTTTCCCAGCACCATTATTGAAGAGACTATCTCTCTTTTTTTTTTTTTCAGACGGAGTCTTGCTCTGTCACCTAGGCTGGAGTGCAGTGGTGCAGTATTGGCTCACTGCAACCTCTGCCTCCTTGGTTCAAGTGATTCTCCTGCCTCAGCCTCCTGAATAGTTGGGATTACTGATGCCTGCCACCACGCCGGGCTAGTTTTTGTGTTTTTAGTAGAGACGGGATTTCACCATGTTAGCCAGGCTTGTCTTGAACTCCTGACTTCAAGTGATCCTCCCACCTTGGCCTCCCAAGTGCTGGGATTACAGGCGTGAGCTACCGTGCCTGACCAAGAGACTATCTTTTCCCCAGTGTATGTTCTTGGCACTTTTACCAAAAATGAGTTTACTGTAGGTGTGTGCCAGCTAATTTTTTAATTTTGTAAAGACAGTTGTCTTTACAAAAGACAACTGTTGCCTGGGCTGGTCTTGAATTACTGCCCTCAAGTGAAAAATCTTATGATTCTTTTTTTTTTTTAAAGACGGAGTCTCACTCTGACTCCCACACTGGAGTGCAGCGATACGATGTCAGCTCACTGCAACGTCCGCCTCCCAGGTTAAGTGATTCTCCTGCCTCAGCCTCTGAGTAGCTGGGACTGCAGGCACGTGCCACCATGTCCAGCTAATTTTTGTATTTTTAGTAGAGATGGGGTTTCACCATGTTGGCCCAGCTGGTCTTAAAACTCCTGACCTCAGGTGATTCACCCGCCTCAGCCTCCCAAAGTGCTGGGATTATAGGCATGAGTCACTGCACCCGGCCTAGATTCTGTTTTTAATGACACTGGAAAACAACGAATTTTTGTTTTGGCATATATATAGCTTTACTTTTAAAAGCAAGAACACACACAAAAAAAGGGGGAAAAAAGCAAGAACACAATAAATGCAACATTTAGATCAACGAGTACCTGTGCACGAGAAGCACAGGGATGGTTTCAGTAGGATTTCATAGTTTGATGGTGACTTTTGCCAAGCTGCTGCTACTTGGATTGTGTGGTGTGTTTGTGAGTGTTTATATCATTAAAAAACAAAACAGCCACTGCACTGGGTTGTTTTATTTTTTAATGATATAAACACTGATGAGACAAGGCAAGAAAACAGCAAGGCAAAAAAGAAAAAAAAAAAAGCCAGGCATGGTGGTATGCACCTGTAGTTCTAGCTATTTGGGAGACAAAGGCGAGAGGACCACTTTGAAATCCAGGAGTTCGAGATTACAGCGAGCCATGATCATGACATTGTAGTCTACCCTTGGCAACACAGCAAGACCCTGTCTCAAACAGCAAAACAAAACAAAAAACCCCAGAATCACAGGATTTTTTTCATGCATAATTTTTCTAATATTGTCATGTTATTGCATATGGCTATAGCTCATTCCTTTTCACTGCCATATATGACTTGTGTGATTAAACATATTCTATAAATGGATTGTTTCCAGTTTCTTGCTTCTGTGAGCATTGTTTTATGAATAATCATGTCTTTTAGCACACATAGATATTGATTATCTTCATCAAAAGTTTCTCTTGGGTATAAACCTAGGACAGTAGTCTTGCTGCTAATAAGATATGCAGTATTAGTCTTTATGAGACAATGATAAATTGTTTTCCTAAGTAGTTCCTTCTCACCAGCAATATGTAAGAATTCCTACTGAGCCACATTTTCTCCAACATGTGGTATTATCAGGTCTTTGCCATTTTTTTTCTTTTTTTTTTTAGAGACCAAGGATGCTGCTAAAGATGCTCGGGATCAGAAATGTTTCAGATTTTGATTTTTTTCGGATTTTGGATTCCTTGCATTATTTTTACTGGTTAGCATCTGTAGTCTGAAAATCTGAAATCTGAAATGCTCCAAAGAGCATTACCTTTGAGCATCATGTTGATACTCAAAAACTTCCGGATTTTGGAGCATTTTGGATTTCAGATTATTGGATTAGGGATACTCAACCTGTATTTCAGTGGGTTTTATTTGTAATTTTCTGATTACTAATAACATTGAGCATCATTTCAAATGTTTAGTAACTATATGTAGGGGTTCAGTCAGGCTGGTGGGAAAAAATATTAGTGATGATAGCCACAAACCCTCTTGGAAGGCCTAAGAGTTTGCATAACTTCAGTAATAGATATGGTTGAAGGCGACCTGATCTTTACCTTTAGTTAAATAAATTAGAGTAATAACAAAGGAATGTGGGGAAGTTATCTAGGTAGCTTGTTTACTCATATGGTCTTAAGACTAATCTTTGATGTACCGCAGGTGCTTAACTGCTTTCTACTCAGGAAGTCCACAATGTCAGTTACCCCGTAGTGGTGTTGACTCAAGTCTTTGTCAATTAATCTTTACTGAATAAATGCGAGTCTCACTAGCTGGTCAGGGCCGCCATTGCAACTGTTTACAGTACTCTTCAGGGAGTCTGTAAACAGCCTGGACACACTCAGCTGGACTGGCAAAGCAGAGTATCTGTGTGTCAGTGTACCTCATTCATCCGTTGCCGGGTCAGGGGTCTGCAAGGGACAGACTCCCTGAAGCTGGTGCTCTGTGTGAGGAGCGTCACCACAACTATACAATTTTTTTTTTTCCTGTAAAATGGCTGTCATAGCATTTGACCTTTTAAAAATCGGCTTGTGGCTGGGCAGGGTGTACACCTGTAATCCCAGCACTTTGGGAGGCTGAGGCGGATGGATCAGTTGAGGCCAGTAATTCAAGACCAGCCTGGCCAGCATGGCAGAACCCTGTCTCTACTAGAAGTACAAAAATTAACCAGGCATAGTGGCGCATGCCTGTAGTCCCAGCTCCTCAGGGGCGCTGAACCTGGGAGGCGGAGGTTGCAGTGAGCCAAGATTATGCCACTGCACTCCAGCCTCAGTTACAGAGCGTGACTCTCTCAAAAAATAAAGAAAAAAATAAGTCTGCTAGTATTTTTTATTTATAAGAGTTCTTTGCATCATCTACATACTAATCTTGTTGATTATACGTAGGTTACAGATTATCTTTTAGTATGTATCTTTTTACTTTTTTTTTTTTTTTGGTGAGATGAGGGTCTTTCTGTGTTGCCCAGGCTCCTGGGCTCAAGAAATCCTTGCACCTTTTTTTTTTTTTTTTTTGAGATGGAGTTTCACTCATGTTGCCGAGGCTGGAGTGCAATGGTGTGATCTCAGCTCACTGCACCTCTGCCTCCCGGGTTCAAGCACTTATCCTTTCTCAGCCTCCTGAGTAGCTGGGATTACAGGCGTGTGCTACCACGCCCGGCTAATTTTTGTATATTTAGTAGAGATGGGTTTTGCCATGTTGGCCAGGCCAGTCTTGAACGCCTGACCTCAGGTGATCCATCCGCCTCAGCCTCCCAAAATGCTGGGATTACAGGCATGAGCCACCGCGTCCAGCCTTTGTTTTTTTAATGTTGCTTTTTGATTAAAGAAATTTGTAATTTTAATATGATTGAATTTATCTGTCCTTCATTTTTATGTCTTTGTTTTTAGTAACAGTCTTGCTCTGTCACCCAAGCTGGAATGCAGTAGTGTGATCATGGCTCACTGTAGCCTCAACCTCCTGGGCTCAGGCAACCCTCCTCCCTCAGCCTCCCAAGTAACTAGGACTACAGGTGTGTGCCATATGCCCAGCTAATTTTTGTTGTTGTTGTTGTTTTGTAGAGACAGAGTCTCACTATGTTGCCCAGGCTGGTCTCAAACTCCTGGCCTCAAGTGATCCTCCCGCATCAGCCTCCCAAAGTGCTGGGCTTACAGCCACCATCTACCACGCCTGACTATTTTTGTCCTGTTTAAGAAATTCCTGGGCTGGGTGTGGTGGCTCACGCCTGTAATCCCAGTACTTTGGGAGGCTGAGGCGGGTGGATTACGAGGTCACGGGATCGAGACCATCCTGGCCAACATGGTGAAACCTCGTCTCTACTAAAAATACAAAAAAATTAGCTGGGCGTGGTGATGCATACCTGTAGTCCTAGCTACTCATGAGGCTGAGGCAGGAGAATCACTTGAACCAGGGAGGTGGAGGATGCAGTGAGCCAAGATCGTGCCACTGCACTCCAGACTGGTGATAGAGTGAGACTCCGTTTAAAAAAAAAAAAAATGAAATTCCTTATTACTCCAAGGCCAGAAAAATATTATGCTACATTTTCTTCTTAATATTGTAGAATTTTGGCCAGGTGCAGTGGCTAAAGCCTGTAATCCCAGCACTTTGGGAGGCCAAGGCAGGAAGATTGCTTGAAGCCAGGAGTTTGAGACCAGCCTAGGCAGTATAGTGAGACCTCATCTCTACAAAAAATTAAAAAAATATATTAGCCAAGCATAGTGGCACACACCTGTAGTCTCTGCTACTCAGGTAGCTGAGGTGGGAGGATCACTTGAGCCTGGGAGGTCGAGGCTGCAGTGAGCCCTGTTTGTGCTGCTGCACTCCAGCCTGGGCAACAGAGTGAGACCCTGTCTCAAAAAATAATAATAAAATTAAAGAATAAACAAATATATAGAGAGAATTTTTTTGTTACCTTTAAGTCTCAAATTTACTTGGAATTAATTTTTGTGTGTGATGTGAGGTAGGGATCTATTTCTTTTTTTTATGTGGATGGTTGGCCCAGAACCATTTATAGAAAATCTTTTTCTTTTCTTTTTTTTTCTTTTCTTTTTTTTTTTTTTTAGACAGAGTCTCACTCTTGTCACCCAGGCTGGAGTGCAGGGCCACAATCTCAGCGCACTGCAACCTCTGCCTCCTGGGTTCAAGTGATTCTCCTGCCTCAGCCTCCTGAGTAGCTAGGATTACAGGCATGTGCCACCACACCCAGCTAATTTTTGTATTTTTAGTAGAGATGGGGTTTCACCGTGTTGGCTAGGCTGGTCTCGAAAAGTTTTCACATTTTAAAAAGTCTTTAAGGATTTTGATTAGAATTACATTGTCTATAGACTAATTTGGAAGAATTGATACTTTATGATATTGAAACTTCCTATCCATGATCATGATCATGGGCTCCCTATCCTTTTTTTTTTTTTTGAGACAGGTTTTGCTCTGTCACTCAGGTTGGAGTGCAGTGGCACAATCATAGCTCACTGCAGCCTTGAATTCCTGGGTTCAAGTGCTTCTCTTGTCTCAGCCTCCCGAGTAGCTAGGACTAGAGGCACACAGCACCACACTTGGCTTTTTTTTTTCTGTAGAGAATACAAAATTTAAAAATTTAATTTTTTGTAGTGTCTCACTAAACTGGGATTACAGATGTGAGCCACTCCACCTGGCCTCCTCCTCCAATTTTTAAGAGAGTCTTTTAATGTCTTTTGATAACCTTTTTAAATTTTCAGCACAAAGACACTGTAAGTCGTTTGCCATATTTTTAGGTGGGTATAATACGTATGTTTAGTTCTACTAGGAATAAATAAATCTTTTCTAGTTTTTTGTCTTTAACATCTTATGTTTTTGATTTCTTATTCTACTGGCTAACACTCCCAGGATGATGTTTAGAAGTTGAACAGAAAGGTGATAGTGAGAACCCTTTTCATATTCCTGATTTTGAAAGAATTGTTGCTGGTGCTGTGGCTCATGCCTGTAATCCCAGCACTTTGGGATGCTGAGATGGGAGACTCTCTTGAGCCCAGGAGTTTGAGAGTTTGAGGGGATCTGCCTGGGCAACATAGTGAGACTCCATTTCTTTTTTTTTTTTTTTTTTTTAGACAGAGTCTCCCTCTGTCTCCCAGGCTGGAGTGGTGCAGTGGTGCAATCTCAGCTCACTGCAAGCTCCGCCTCCCGGGTTCATGCCATTCTTCCTGCCTCAGCCTCCCGAGTAGCTGAGACTACAGGTGCCCAGCACCATGCCTGGTATTTTTTTTGTATTTTGTATTTTTAGTAGAGACGGGGGGTTTCACCATGTTAGCCAGGATGGTCTTGATCTGACCTCGTCATCTGCCCGCCTTGGCCTCCCAAAGTGCTGGGATTACAGGTGTTAGCCACCATGCCCGGCTAAGACCCCATTTCTTTAAAAAAAAAAAAAAAAAAGCCAGGCGTAGTGGCATGCATTTGTAGTTCTAGCTGCTTGGGAGGCTGAGGCGGGATCATTGCAGGAGATTAAGGCACCCACAAAGATGCACTTAAACCAGTTGTTTCTGCTGAGAGCAGCTGGGATTTGTCACTGGATTTGCCAGGTATAGAGACTCGCCAGCTGCCATCAATGCTTCTGGTCCTTTTTGGTCAGCTGCTGCTTCATACTACGTAGGAAAGATTGTTAAAGCCCAGTGCACTGTTTCCTCTGGTCACTCCTCTGCTATCAAGGTGTTCTCTTTTGCGTTATAGAAAGCTTAAAGTTCATCTAAGTCCAGACCAGTACTCCTATAGGAATATAATGCATGCCACAAATGTGAGCCACTTAAATAATTTTAAATTTTCTAGAAGCTACATTAAAAAGTAAGGAGAAACAGATGAAATAATTTTTTAAACCACTACATCCAAAATATTATTATTTCAACATATAATCAATAAAAAATAGTACTGAGGCCAGCACGGTGGCTCACACCTGTAATCCCAGCACAGGCCAAGGCAGGGAGGATCGCTTGAGCCCAGGAGTTTGAGACCAGCCTGGACAACATGGTGAAACCCATCTCTACAAAAAATAAAAAAAAAATGAGTGGGACATGTTGGCACATGCCTGTTAGTCCCAGCTACTCAGGAGGCTGAGGTGGGATAATCACTGAGCCAGGAAAGTTGAGGTTGTAGTGAGCTGTGATTGTGCCACTGCACTCCAGCGTGGGTGATGGAGCAAGACCCTGTTTCCGAAAAAAAAAAAGAAAAAAAAGATATACTTAAAATTTATTCTAAGATGAAGTCTTCAAAATCAGGTGTATATATCATGCTTACAACACATTATATAATTTATGGCTCCTGCCTAGCAGGGGTCATCACTGTTAGTTCAACTTTTCTTTGGCAAGTCTACTCCCTGTGCCCCACCGTACACTGCTACATTATTGTTTGTATATGTGTGTGTGAGACTGCATTTAGGCAACTGTAATAGGTTGAATTTGGTTATTTAATCTCTGTCCAAAATCACATCACAAAGATGCCTTGATTATAGAAAGATCCTTCCTTGCAGCATATTAGTTATTTGACACCCTCAGTGGATATAAGTGAATATTTTGAGGGAAGAATAGAAAAGATACAATTTTTATTTATTTATTTATTTATTTATTTACTGAGACAAGTTGCTGCTCTGTCGCCCAGGCTGGAGTGCAGTGACATGATCTTGGCTCACTACAACCTCTGCCTCCCGGTTCAAGTGATTCTTCTGCCTCAGTCTCCCTGAGTAGCTGGGGTTACAGGCATGCACCACCACACCTGGCTAATTTTAGTATTAATAATTTATTTTTAAATGGAATAATAATTTCACTTTCTTCTTACCAGATCTTTCTGTCTGGGTTGTTTGCTTTTATGAGTTTTTTTGTTTGAATCTCCCTTTTACATTAAACAAAAATTAACATTTTATTATGGGAAATTTCACTATGCTATTAGAAAAGCATAGTGAACCCCCAGGCATCATCAGTGATATTCGGTGTATAGCAGTTCACGGACAGTTTTGTTTCATCTATACCAACACCTATTGCTTATCCTCCTTCTGTGTCCCCCAGTTACTTTGAATTAAATCTTATACATATACAGATGAATATTATCACTTCATCTGTATCAGAATGTTATTTTTATTAAGAAAATTATTTTTGAGATAGGGCCTTGCTGTAGTGCCCAGGCTGGAGTGTAGTAGCATGATATAACTCCCTGCAGCCTCGAACTCCTGGGCTCAAGTGATCCTCCCACCTCAGCCTCCTAAGTAACTGGGACTACAGGTGTGTGCCACCACACCTGGTAACAGATGGTTTTAAAAACTACAATACATTATCACACTTAAAAAAATTATCTTATCTAAAATAACTATTCAGATTTTCCCAGTTATTTCATAAGTGATTTTTTTTTTTTTTTTTTTGAGACACAGTTTCACTCTTGTTGCCTCCAGGCTGGAGTGCAATGGCCCGATCTTGGCACACTCCAACATCTGCCTCCCGGGTTCAAGCAATTCTCCTGCCTCAGTCTCCTGAGTAGCTGGGATTATAGACACCCACCACCACGCCCAGCTAATTTTTGTATTTTTAGTAGAGACAGGATTTCACCATGTTGGCCAGGCTGGTCTCAAACTCCTGACCTCAGGTGATCTACCCGCCTCAGCCTCCCAAAATGCTGGGATTACAGGCATGAGCCACTGTGCCTGGCCTTCATAAATGATTTTTATGGTTCAAATCAGGATCCATATAAAGTCCATATATGTGTCTTTTTTTAGTCTATAGATTTCCCTTCCATCTCCTCTGCAATTTATTTTTGGAAGAAACTGAGTTATTGAGTCATTTGTCATCTAGAATGATGTACAGTTTAGATTTTGCTGACTGCATTCCATGGTGTGGCCAAACTTCCTCTGTCTGGTGTATTTCTCATAAGTGTGTAATTAGATGGAAAGGCTTGGTCAGATTTAAATTAGTTTTTTTTTTTCTACAGGGATATTTGAGAGGTAGTGGTATGTATTTCCATCAGGAAGCACATAATGTCTTCTTGGCTCTCTTTGTGATGTTAGTAGCCATCAATTTCAGTGCCTAGATACATTAATTAGATTTCTGTATCTCCTACTATCTCAAAATTTTCCATCTTCTGTCTGTGCTACATTCTGAGTCCTTTCTTCAGTTATAAATTCTAATTCATTGTATAATTCTTGTTAATCTGTTGACTTTCTAAAACTGGCTTTTCATATCTAAAAAAATTTCCTTTTTTCAAGTCTGTTCATTCCTCATAGTTCTTACTAATTGGTCATTTTTACATCCTTTTTTTTTTTTTTTTTTGAGACGGAGTCTTGCTCTGTCATCCAGGCTGGAGTGCAGTGGCATGATCTCTGCTCACTGCAACCTCCGCCTCCCAAGTTCAAGTGATTCTCTTGCCTCAGTCTCCCGAGTAGCTGGGATTATAGGCATCCACCATCATGCCCAGCTAATTTTTGTATTTTTAGTAGAGATGGGGTTTCATCATGTTGGCCAGGCTGGTCTTGAACTCCTGACCTCAGGTGATCTGCCCACCTCAGCCTCCCAAAGTGCTGGGATTACAGGCGTGAGCCACTGTGCCCGGCCTATCCTTAACTTTAGACATTGCACACAGTACAACTGCTATCCGTATCGGATAGTTCTTAAGGTCAGCAGCTATTGCTTATTGTGTCTGCTGACTCTCTTGGTAGCTGCCCTTCTTTTGTGTCTAGTGATCTTTGAGTTCATTGTTTGATCTTAACCAGGGGAACTGTATGGGCCAAAATTAGGATTGAGGATATTTTTCTCCATAGAGGATTTTCCTTAACTTTTGCAGCAGCTGAAAGATGCCATTCAGATGGATCTACATTAGTCATGATGCCAGAATTGGGCAAATCTGCTGACACCAGGACACCTGTGTATATGTGTTTGTGTCTTTCCAGGAATTCATTGAAGAGTTGCTGTCTCCCCCTTTTGGGGGTTTAGTGGCATTTGTGAAGGAGGCTGAGGCTTTGATTGAGCGTGGACAGGCTGAGCGACTTCGAGGGGAAGAAGGTATGAGGAAAATATGGTAATGATGGGATCAGTGGTAAGGGAAGTGGAAAAGAAAAATGAAAGGATGCAGATTACATGGTGGGGGAATAGAGTATGAAAGACTGGATTGAGAGAATACCAGAAAAGAGGGTTTGATGATAAGGATGGCTATACCTTGGGGAGAACTTAGTGGAGTTGAAGATCAGCCAGATCCCTCTCTGACACTGTTTCCTCCTGCTATTAGCCCGGGTAACTCAGCTGATCCGTGGCTTTGGTAGTTCCTGGAAATCATCAGTGGAATCTCTGAGTCAGGATGTAATGCGGAGTTTCACCAACTTCAGAAATGGCACCAGTATCATTCAGGTGACCTGCAAGTCCCAGGCCCCACTCAGATCCCCCATCATTAATTATTTTCCCCATCTTTTTGCTGGGCTCAGCATCATCTAAGTGACCCTTGGTCTTCAGTTACTAGCTGTGCCCAAAGTTCTGTATGAGCCCTAACCTGATTCTTTTTTGTTTGTTTGTTTTGTTTTTTTTTTGAGACAGAGTCTAGCTCTGTTGTCCAGGCTGGAGTGCAGTGGCACAGTCTCGGCTCACTGCAACCTCTGCCTCCCAGGTTCAAGTGATTTTCCTGCCTCAGCCTCCCAAGTAGCTGGGATTACAGGTGCCTGCCACCACAACCAGCTAATTTTCGTATTTGTAGTAGAGATGGGGTTTCACTGTGTTGGCCAGGCTGGTCTCGAATTCCTGACCTCGTGATCTGCCCGCCATGGCCTCCCACAGTGCTGGGATTACAAGTGTGAGCCACTGCGCCTGGCCGCCTAACCTGATTCTTAATCATCACTATTAGCACCATTTTACGGTTTGATCCCTCAATGACTTTCTTTGACCAGGGAGCGCTGACCCAGCTGATCCAGCTCTATCATCGCTTCCACCGGGTGCTGTCCCAGCCGCAGCTCCGAGCCCTCCCTGCCCGGGCTGAGCTCATCAACATTCACCACCTTATGGTGGAGCTCAAGAAGCATAAGCCCAACTTCTGATGTGCCAGAAACCGCCCTGAGATCTGCCGGTCATCTCCATGGACTTCTGCACCCCATTCCATACCCTTCTTCACCTGGGGTACCCCTTCCAGTTTTCCCCTTGCTTCCCAGGCCCTTGACATGGCTTACCTGCCTTCACTCCCAGCACCTTGCCCAACAGGATAAGCTGGATCCCCTTGGCCTTCTGAATATCCCAGTGTCTTCAGGTTTCCCAAGACCACTTCCCTGTGGGCTTCCAAAATGGCCTTTATCATTTCTCCAGTCTGTCACCCTCCTTTCCTGCTCCCATACACCCAAGGCTTGTTTCTTCCCCTGTAAAAACCACTGCCTCAATCTCTGGTTCACTCAACTAGTCACCATGTCCTGAGGCATGAAGCCTCCTCAGCTCTTGGAATTGCTGGCAAGGGGTGACTGCCTCTGAGTCATTGTGTTTTTCAAAGTGATTTCTTTTCTGTAGCTTTTTGACCTAAGATCTCAGCAATTTGAACACTAACCTCTCCCCTCCTGGCTCAAGAATTACTCCGAAGTCAGTCTGCAGAAAATAAATATTTAGTATGACATGACACTTATCCCATTTCCTTTCTCCTTCCTCCTGAAGGTTTTTCAGGTGGCCCCATCTCTAGAATGACCTTTCCTTTCTGACTACTTCCTGGGCTTACATCCCTTCTGGTGGGTGTAACCTCTAACCTCTAGCTACTCCCAGGCCATTGGAGGAAGGTGGCCCCTGGCTAAAATAGCAGATGCTGCAAGGGATGAGAACCAGGCCGCGCAGCCCCAGACACTGTCCCAAGGGCTCCCTTGGGACAAGCCCAAGCTGACTCTGGAATCCCTCCTCCGTAGCAGCTCCATAGCTCCTCTGGTTGTGGCTGTGACAGCCCCTTGCTCGGGGGCTGCAGCACCCAACCCACACCCACACCGTTGGGGCAGGGCTAGACCAGGCGAAATTCGTACCATCCGTTTGTTTGACTTGGAGCCTTCCTGCTGTCCTCGCCTATACGCCTCGTTTGAACTTAGGCTCTAGACTGGAGAGACACGGGGACCCCTTTAAGGCCTAAGAAGAGAGGCGCAGTTAAGGAAAAATGTTACGTTTCCTGTGTCCTCCACCCCTACGGCCTAAACATTCCCTCCCCAGGTCCCTGGAGAGTGGTGGAAAGCGGTTCCTCCCCGCTTAGGCCCTTCGGATGCAGGTCTAGCCCGTCGGCAACGGGAGGTGTCCTGAGTGGGTCTGTGACTGCCGAGCACACCCGCCGCGGAGCGGAGGCTGCTGCTTCCTGAGGCTGAGAGTGGATCCGGCTCCGGGCTCTCCTAATTGGCGGACGCTGGGGGGCGGCGTGGTAAGGCAGAACGGAGCGGCATCTCAGCTCTCGCCTTTTCAGGGTTCCGCCCCATATCCGAGAGCCGCTCTCTAATTGGCTTGGGAAACCGTATCTCAGCGCTTTGGCCTAGCGACTTTGAACGTGTTTGCGCCTGAGACCGAAGTGCAGAAGAGGGCGAGCGCAGGAGGAGAGGCTTGGTGAATCAGCGATTCCTGATTGGCCAGGCGTGCCTTGAGGGCGGGGCCAGAACTGCGTCCTTAACTGACCTCGCCCTTGCCCAGATCACCGCCTCCGCGTTGCTCCGGGTTTACCCCGCCTGACTCGCTGCGCTATGCGTTCCCTCACGCCTGCCGGATGCCAGGCGGCGATGTGCCAGGCTCTGAGGGGCCGCGAGCTCACCCCAGACGCCGGCCCCGGGAATCCTCTGCTCCTCCACTTTCCCTTCCCGCTACTGGTTTCTTGCCCACCCACTCCCAGGTGTCACTCTTGGGACATCCAGATGTTCTGACATTTGACCTGACTCCAGCCTCAGCGCGAGGACGGGAGAAGGGCCAAGGGTATGAGATTTTGGACAGGAGAGGCATTGGCTACTCTGACAAAGAGCGTGGATTCCCAAAGAAAGGGTCCCCAGATACCCCGCAGGGGAGACTGTCGAGACAGGCGACTTTAGCCAACTAATGCTCGCACGCGAGGAGGGCTGTGCAGGCAGGCACCACGGTTCTTCACAGCCTTCCTTCTTTCCTTCCCCTGTCCGTCGCAGAACCCAAATCCTCAGAGCTGATCGAGAAGCGCGTGTTGTTGCAGAAGTCACTGAGGGGCAGACCTGGAATGTGAGCCGTGGGGCGAAGGGACAGCTCTGGAGACTCGTGATTCCGGAACCCGGTGGGCATTCAAGTGATACTGGAGCACGCAGTTTTCGGGGACATTAAGCTCGCCCCAGGGGTCCACAGGAACCCTCTGACCCAACGGTCTCTCTGGACAGGATGATCCAGAACAGACGGTGAAGAGACAAAACAGCGTGAAAGGGAGCGGCGATACCTAAACTGACCTCCGGAGGGCAGCATGATCAAGGGAAGGAGCTGTTCTCGCTCCGCTCAAACCCCCGCGCAGCCTCTGCAGCTTACTCCTGCTTCGGAAGGCGGCGAGGTTCCACCCCCACCACCCCGGTCCCCGCCGCCCTCTTCGCGCTGAAGCTGCGGAGGGTCTTTTTCTTCAGCCCCCAAATCCTCTGCTCTGTGGCTTAAGATTCCCAGGCTTAAACCCATAACTGCTAGGGTCATCACTCCTCAAACTTCTCCCTCACTTGTTTTGCTGATGACGGACACAGGGGCCTCACAGACTCAGAAGCATCTGGAGTCATTTCGAAGGACAGAACTGTGGCAATATCCTCTTTCCCCTTTCTAATCTCTGAGAACAGTGTCTGTATATGGCACGGGGGTCCCTAGTGTCATATAGAAGGACTCGGAGATGTCCTCATGGGCTGTAACGGCCCCCGGTGCTATTCAGGGATCTCTGTTCTTTAAAGAAATATCATTTCCCCTTATTTCTCTACCTTTGTGCCCTCACCTCGCCCTGAATTGTTTCTTAAACTGGGCTTTCTGGGAAACGTTTACTTCGTGTTCAACAGCAAAGTCTCGGCATAAGGCGAGGGCGGCAGGGGGTGGGGGGCGGGCGTTTGCTCGCCTTGGCATTAATTTCAGAGCTGCTGAACGTGGACAAAAGAGAGGGAACATCCTCCTTTCTTCCATTCCTGTAAATATGGACCCACCCACCCTCCACTTAAGATGGGTGGCTTTTCTGATTTTAAGATATCAAGCAGCCTGGCGAGGTGGCTGACACCTGGGATCCCAGAACTTTGGGAAGCCGAGGCGGGAAGATCCCTTAAGGCCAGGAGTTCTAGACCAGCCTGGCCAATATGGCGAAAACCCATCTCTACTAAAAATACAAAAATTAGCCTGGCGTGGTGGTGCCTGCCTATAATCCCAGCTACTAGGGTGGCTGAGTCAGGAGAGTCGCTTGAACCTGGGAGGCGGAGGTTGTAATGAGCCGAGATGGCCACTGCACTCCAGCCTGGGTGACAGTGAGACTCTGTCTCAAAAATAATAATAATAATAATAATAAAAAGATATAAATTGGCTGGGCTTTAAAATAAAGTAGTCAGAGGCCCAGGGTGGTGACTCATGCCTGTAATCCTTTTGGAAGGCAGAGGCCAGAGGATCTTGAGCACAGGAGTTTGAGACTAGCCTGGGCAACATAGGGAGACCCATCTCTACCAAAAAAAAAAAAAAAAAAAAAAGCAAAAAGCCAAGCATGGTGGCCCATGCCTGTGGTCCCAGCTAGTTGTGAGGCTGAGGCAGGAGGATTGCTTGAGAACAGGAGTTAGAGATTGCAGTGAGCTATGATTGCACTACTGCACTCCAGCCTGGGTGACAGAGTGAGACTCTATCTCTTTTTAAAAAATTAAAAAACAAAGTAGATTTAGTGTGAAGATTCAAGGAAAGAAAGAGAAAGCAAGACAAAACTTTAAGGAGAGGAGAATCGAAATTGGCTGACTTCACCCTGGACATAATGGACACAGCTATTCATGTTACGTACTAGCGTTAACAAAGTGTTTTCAGAAGCAGTTGTCATTAAACCAACACATTTATTGAAGCTCTTCTCTGTGTTCTGTGATAGGCACTGCGGATTCAGCAGAGACTAAATCAAAGTCCTTGATCTCGGAGAGCACATATTTCATCTAATTGAATTCACATACCAGCCTTATGAGGAGGTGTTCTTCCTGTTTCAGGTAATGAGCTTGAATTTCAAATAATGAGTTCAAAACCATATAGGCACTCAGTGGCTGAACCTTCTGTGCCCACATTCAGCTTTTGTTCTATGACTCCAGGCTGGGAGTCATGGAGCTGAGGAGGCAGCCGGTTGTAGAGAAGCAACAGATTAATAAGTAATAGTAAATTATTGAAAAAATATTTACAGAACTGAAGGAAAAGCTGAACAGGCGGTCTTTGGAAAGGACAGAAGCCAGGATAGTTCCAGCATCCAGGCAGCAGACACCAATGGTCAGTGCTTCTACTTTGGATCAAAAAGAGAGAACTCCAATAGGCTTAGGGTGGGTCAGGTGCTCACACTCATCTGAGGAAGGGGAGGGTCCCTTGAGGAATAGTACCATAGACTACCCAATGTTGGAGGATAATGGCCCCAACGCAAAAATGGGATCTTGCCACCAGACAAATGGGATATAGATGCCAGGCTGCAAAATCCAACAAATGTACACGTGCCCAAATCCCGACTCCATCACTAATAGCCATGCAATCCTCTGACTATCAATTAGATTAATTGACACTCTTTTTTCTCTCGCTACTGTGGTACATGCAGTAGTTACCTTTATTCTTCACTTTGTTTTCTCATAAGACTAACAAGCAGTTTTTTAAAATAAAGAAATAAAAGCAAAATTGCTTATTGTCTTAGTCTATTCATTGGCAAACTAGTAACATTAAATAAACTCCAGACAGAGCCACTGGAGAAGAATCAAGTACAACTTAGTAGAAATAACACCGTATGTGTGAAGGTGAGTGTGTGTGTGTGTGTGTGTGTGTGTGTGTGTGTGTGTGTGTGATGGAAAATACTTTGTCCTGCCCAAACTGTAAGTCATGACCATGCCCCTCTCAGCAGAAGTTTATCTTCATCTCATTTGGAAGTTTATAAGAACACAGCTTAAAAAAAACCTGTGATTTTGGAGCAAGGTCAAGCCTTTGCTATTGCTTCCACATTTTGTTTTGTTTTATTTATTTATTTACTTTTCAGTTTTTTGGAGTTTTCTTTATTTGTTTGTGTTTTTGAGACAGGGTCTCGCTCTGTTGCCCAGGCTGGAGTGCAGAGGCACCATCTCGGCTCACTGCAACCTCTGCCTCCCGGGTTCAAGCGATTCCCCTGGCTTAGCCTACTGAGTAGCTGGGATTACTGGCACGCACCACCACATCCAGCTAATTTTTGTATTTTCAGTAGACACTGAAATACATGTTTGCCATGTTGGCTGGGCTGGTCTCAAACTCCTGGCCTCATGTGATCTGCCTGCCTCGGCCTCCCAAAGTGCTGGGATTACAGGCATGAGCCACCACGCCTGCCTAGTTTTTAGTTTTTTGAGACAGAGTCTTGCTCAGTTACCCAGGCTGGAATGCAGTGGCATGATCACAGTTTACTGCAGCCTCGACCTCATGGATTTAAGCAATCCTCCCACCTCAGCCTCTGGGATAGCTGGGACTACAGTCATGTGCCACCACACCTGGCTAATTTTTGTATTTTTTGGTAAACGAGGTTTCACCATGTTGCCCAGGCTGGTCTTGAACTCCTGAGCTCAAGTGATCTCCTACCTCGGCCTCCCAAAGTGTTGGAATTACAGGCATGAGCCACTGCCCCAGCTGTTTTATTAATTTAGTTAAAAATATATGAAAAGAGGCCCTGCGCGGTGGCTCACGCCTGTAATCCCAGCACTTTGGGAGGCTGAGGTGGGCGGATCACCTGCGGTTTTGGAGTTCAAGACCAGCCTGACCAACATGGAGAAACCCCATCTCTACTAAAAATATAAAAAATCAGCTAGGCATGGTGGCACATACCTGTAATCTCAGCTACTCGAGAGGCTGAGGCAGGAGAATTGCCCTAACCCAGAGGAGGTTGTGGTGAGCCAAGATTGCGCCATTGCACTCCAGCCTGGGCAACAAGAGCGAAACTCTGTCTCAAAAAAAAAAGTATATATATATATATATATATATGAAAAGGCTGGGTGCGGTGGCTCACGCCTGTAATCCTAACACTTTGGGAGGCTGAGGCAGGTGGATCACCTGAGGTCAGGAATTTGAGACCAGCCTGGCCAACATGGCAAAACCGTGTCTCTACTAAAAATAAAAAAATTAGCCAGGCATGGTGGCAGGCGCCTGTAATCCCAACTACTTGGGAGGCTGAGGCAGGTGGATCACCTGAGGTCAGGAATTTGAGACCAGCCTGGCCAACATGGCAAAACCCTGTCCCTACTAAAAATACAAAAATTAGCCAGGCATGGTGGCAGGTGCCTGTAATCCCAACTACTTGGGAGGCTGAGGCAGGAGAATTGCTTGAACTCAGGGGGCAGAAGTTGGCAGTGAGCCAAGATCACACCATTTCACTCCAGTCTGGGCAAAAGAGCAAGATTCTGTCTCAAAAAAAAAAAAAAAAAAGTATATATATATATATATATATATATATATATATATATATATATATATATATATACATACACACACACATACACACATACAGGCACTAGCCAGGCGTGGTGGCTCATGCCTGTAATCCCAGCACTTTGGGAGGCCGAGGCGGGCAGATCACAAAACAGGCAGGGCATGGTGGTCCACGCCTGTAATCCTAGCACTTTGGGAGGCTGAGGTGGGCAGATCACTTGAGCACAGGAGTTCGAGACTAGCCTGAGCAACATGGCGAAACTCTGTCTCTACCAAAAATACAAAAATTAGCTGGGTGTGGTGGTGCATGCCAGTAATCCCAGCTACTCCGGAGGCTGAGAGGCAGGAGGATTGCTTGGGGAGGCAGAGGTTGCAGTGAGCCGAGATGGCACCACTAGACTCCAGCCCAGGTGACAGAGGGAGACCCTGTCTCAAAAAAAAAAAAAAAAGAAAGAAAAGAAGAAAAGAAAAACAAATCACCTGCCTTATGAAGAAACAGTTTGTAATAGATATAAGACACAGAATGTGCAGCCCCTGGTATGGAATAAGTCCTTAGAAAATGTTAGTTTCCTCTCTGTCCCTGTGTGACATGAAGGGAATTCCAGGGCCAGTGCCACTTCCTGGTGGTTTCCCTCACTTAAGTGCTGTGTACCCCATTGCAAAAGCATGTCTTCCAGGTTCCTGATACCACATCCCATGTCCTCTGCCTTTGGGGCTCTCATAGGATTAAGTGTCATTTTCCCTATGAACTAGAAAAGAATCTTCTGAACGTCTGCCTTGGGACTGATGATATAGCTGAGCTGAAAGGACAATTAGTTTTCCTCCCCAGACCAACCCAACCTTCAAGGCTGGGGACTCATTTGATGCTCCCATTCAAACATTTGGAGAAAATTGTCTCTGAGTACCAGGTCTTTTTAGCATATTTTCTCCAAATGTTACATCCTTAGGGGCTTTGAATAGTAGAAGAGCCTTCAACATTGGTTCAGATGGAAGCATGCAGGCATGTGGAGAGTTGCCACTGCCTGATCCCTGAAACAAGGCTTAGGATGGAAAAGAGCCTCCTGGGGAGGTTGGCTCTGAATGTAAAGCTGGGAGAGGCACCTCCTGTCAACCTAAGGGCTTGTTGGTAGGGGCAACATGTTGACCTGGCTTCCTTCCCACTCTGAGACATCACTGGCTCTCATGCAGAGCTATTTTCCTTCTTTCTTTCTTTCTTTCTTTCTTTCTTTCTTTCTTTCTTTCTTTCTTTCTTTCTTTCTTTCTTTCTTCTTTCTTTCTTTCTTTCTTTCTTTCTTTCTTTCTTTCTTTCTTTCTTTCTTTTCTTTCTTTCTTTTCTTTTCTTTCTTTCTTTTTTTTTTTGAGACGGAGTTTCACTCTTGTTGCCCAGGCTAGAGTGCAACGGCACGATCTCAGCTCACCACAACTGCCACCTCCCTGGGCCAAGCAATTCTCGTGCCTCAGCCTCCCGAGTAGCTGGGATTACAGGCATGTGCCACCATGCCCAGCTAATTTTGTATTTTTAGTAGAGATGGGGTTTCTCCTTGTTGGTCAGGCTCGTCTCAAACTCCCAACCTCAGGTGATCCACCTGCCTTGGCCTCCCAAAGTGCTGGGATTACAGGAGTAAGCTGCCGTGCCTGGCCTTTCATTCTTTTCTTTCCTTCTTTCCTTCTTTCCTTCCTTCCTTCTTTCCTTCTTTCCTTCCTTCCTTCCTTCCTCCCTCCTTCCCTCCCTCCCTCCTTTCTTCTTTCTTCTCTTTCTTTCTCCTTCCTTCCTTCTCTCTCTCTTTTCTTTTCTTTCTTCTTTCTGGGTTTCGCTCTATTGCCGAGGCTGGAGTGCAGTGAGTGGCACGATCACGGCTCACTGTAGCCTCAACTTCCTAGGCTCCAGCGATCCTCCTACCTCAGCCTCCTTAGTAGCTGGGATTGCAGGCATGAGCCACTGTGCCCAGTGTAATGCAGGGCTCTTCATCCAGGATCCCAAAGGGCAAACAAAAATAGGAGAAAATTACATTTCATTTTCACTAATCTCTAACTGAAATTTAGCATTTTCTCCAATGATAAATGTAGGCAATAAACCTACACCGGTATTTGTAGTACATGTGACTGTTGTTAATAGAATTTACACATTTGTGTCATCTTCCAGTAGTTGCAGAAATTTCAAAATGTCATGTATGCTCACGGTTACTTTGTAGTTAGTGGTAGTGGTTAGACTCACCACTAGATCTTCTTCTTACACATTTTGTTTCATTTTGACAACTGTACTTCAATATGATTGTTTTCCTTTGTAATCCCATTTATTTTACTTTATGCAGTTGAAGATTATTCTGACACTCCACAGACTTCACCAGACTTCCAAAACCTGTCCTAGACGTAAAAAGTTAAGAAACCTTAAATCTCTAATGATGCTGTCATTTCCTGTTTTGTATTATCTTACAACCAGGGTAATTAGGAATGCCTTCTTCTTCTTCTTTTTTTTTTTTTTTTTTGAGACGGAGTCTTGCCCTGTCACCCAGGCTGGAGTGCAGTGGCACAATCTTGGCTCACTGCAACCTCTGCCTCCCGGGTTCAAGTGATTCTCCTGCCTCAGCCTCCCAAGTAGGTGGGATTGCAGGCATCCACCACCATGCCCAGCTATTTTTTTGTATATTTAGTAGAGATGGGGTTTCACCATGTTGGCCAGGCTGGTCTTGAACTCCTGACATCAGGTGATCCACCCACCTCAGCCTCCCAAAGTGCTGGGATTACAGGCATGAGCCACCGTGCCTGGCTTGCTTTCTTCTTGTTTAAACTAAAGGTCTTCTTGTAAAATTCCTGCTCATATTTTCTTCATTATTACTCAAATTCAATTATTCATTTATTTGCCAAATATTTAGAAAACACTTCTCTTGTACAAAACCATGCTGCATAAAACTGTTATTATGCGAAAAATAATCCTTACTCGCCATGCCCTCTACCCCGACCCCCCAACCCCATTTACAATCTGGTAGAGCTGGACTGTTTACCCACATAGGACACACAGGCTGCAGCTTACCATGGGCAGGGAGTGGGGATGGTTGTTCCAGGTGCAGGTAATAAGAAGGTGTATTGTCTGTGGAGAATTTAAAAATAATTCTAAAACCAACTTTTTTTTTTTTTTTTTTTTTTGAGATGGAGTCTGACTCTTTGGCCCAGGCTGGAGTGCAGTGGCACCATCTTGGCTCACTGCAGCCTCTGCCTCCCGGGTTCCAGTGATTCTCCTGCCTCAGCCTCCCAGGTAGCTGGCATTACAGGCACACACCACCACGCCAGGCTAATTTTTGTGTTTTTAGTAGAGACGGGGTTTTACCACGTTGGCCAGGCTGGTCTTGAACTCCTGACCTCAGGTGATCTGCCCACCTCATCCTCCCAAAGTGCTAGGATTACAGGTGTGAGCCACTGCGCCCAGCCTGAAGCCAACTTTTTATTGATACTGCGCACCAGCAATTATAAAAAAATGTTAGTGACAAAATACCCCTTGCAGTGTAGCCTCCTCCCCCCACTCCACCCTGCTTGGTATGCCACTGCACACAGGGGAGTTTAACCATTTCCAGTTTACACACACACACACAGACACACACACACACACACACACACACACACACACACAAACACACAGAGCCTTTGAGACTTCCTTTTCTCCTCAACTCCCCCAGCCCAGTTCTCATGTCACTCTACTCAGGGTAGGATCTGCAGCACTGCTGGGCCAGTATCCCCAAAGGTGAGCCCTGTAAGCTCCTTGGCCTCTGGATGGTCTCATTAATAGTCCAGGATGAGCCCTGCAATCTTGGCATCTGTAGGCAGGTCTCAGCTCTTCTTCACACCCCTGGGCTTGAACCCCTTGGCAACTGCGTTTGACAGTACATGATTCCCATTCTTCATCTCCAGATTTTCCATCCTTCAAGAAAACACTGGATTTCCTGGTCAAGCCAAGGCTTAATGAACTGGCCTGGCAGCTTCTCTGGTCCTCAAGTTTCCTTTTCTTGCCTTACTTTCTGAAGACTTCTAGTAGTTTTACTTGGAAGTGTCACTGTCTCCATTTTTATTCCTGAGTTTTCTGCAGTTCTTTTTTCTGTGGCCCCACGGACTCATCCAGAGCCTGCAGGGAGCTGACACCTCATCTGAGCTGCTAGAATTGAGGTGAGAAAGGAGGTTCCTAAGTGCAGAAATGTGTTTTCTCCTCTCCAGCCACCACTGAAGGCTTTGGATGTGATTGAGTCAGACCTCTCCTGCACAGTCTCCCTTTGGATTACCTCAAGATAAACCAATTTGTGACTTTAATTACATCCGCGAAGTCCCTTCCCAGCTGCACCTAAGCTAAAGTGTGATTGAATGAATGAAAGAGGGTGTGCTGGCGATCAGCTAGGGAAGTGATTCCAAGGGTCCCTAGACTCCACATTACCAACTGCAAAATGTGACGTTCTTACGTTCTGACAAGCGAACTCTCCTCCCAAATTCATTGCCTGAGTTGATGCAAATGAATTCAGCCACGCCTTTTGGGTTTGGCATCTGAGAAGTGTCTGTGACTTGGGAAGAGTGGTCAGAATGGCGATAATGGGAAGAGACCACATTTCAGCTGGTGGAGAGTGAAAGGACAGCCAACATCTTGCCCTTTCTGAAGCATACACACATTGGAGATTGAAAGTGTCTGTTGGCCTCACAGGCACTGAGGAAAGCCTCCCATCCCCTTAGATTTTCCTCCTTTTTCCTGAGGTCCCCTGAACCTAATAGTCTGTAACCTTATTCCATGTCTGGGTCAACAAACCACCTTCCAAGGAGGACTTGAATATAATAATCCGTTTCCTCTGCATTCCTCCAGAACACAGAGTCCACACCATCCATGAGTCTGTCAAACAAAACATTCCTCATTGGTCTCAATGTTGAGCACTGAAAGTTCTCTGAGCTCATTTAGCACCAACTCATCATCCTTAAAATCCACAGGATGGGCCGGGTGCAGTGACCCATGCCTGTGACTACAACACCTTGGGAGGCCAAGGGGCAGATCTCTTGAGCCCAGGAGTTCAAGACCAGCCTGGGAAACATGGTGAGACACCTTCTCTACAAAAAAAAATTTTTTTTTTTGAGACGGAATCTCACTCTGTCGCCCAGGCTGGAGTGCAGTGGTGCAATCTCGGCTCGCTGCAACCTCCGCCTCCAGGGTTCAAGCGACTCTCTGCCTCAGCTCCCGAGTAGCTGGGATTGCAGGCATCCACCACCATGCCCAGCTAATTTTTGTATTTTTAGTAGAGACAGGGTTTTACCACGTTGGCCAGGCTGGTCTCGAACTCCTGACCTCGTGATCTACCCGCCTCAGCCTCCCAAAGTGCTGGGATTACAGGTGTGAGCCACCATGCCCGGCCTACAAAAATTTTTTTAAAAAAATTAGCCAGGAATGGTGGTGTACACCTGTGGTCCCAGCTACTTGGGAAGCTGAGATAGGAGGATTCCTTGAGCCCAGGAGGTTGAGGCTGCACAGTGAGCTGTGATCACGCCACTGTACTCCAGCCTGAGCAATAGTGAGACCTTATCTCAGAAAACAAACAAAACAACCAAAAATATCCATAGGATGAAACATATGTTTGATTATGACAACTTGCTTATGGTACCTTCTGGATGGCCCAGCTCCCTTGCAGATCCCCAGACCAACAGCTTTTGTTGTAGTGACAGCTTCTTCTTGTAACCTCTTTTTTTTTTTTTTTTTTTTTTGAGATGGAATTTCACTCTTGTTGCCCAGGCTGGAGTGCAATGACATGATCTCGGCTCACTGCAGCCTCTGCCTCCAGGGTTCAAGCGATTCTGCTGCCTCAGCCTCCTGAGTAGCTGGAACTACAGGTATGCACCACCATGCCCGGCTAATGTTTGTATTTTTAATAGGGACGGTGTTTTGCCATGTTGGCCAGGCTGGTCTCAAACTCCTGGCCTCAGGTGATCCACCTGCCTCAGCTTCCCAAAGTGCTTGGATTACAGGCGTGAGCCACTGCACCTGGCCTACAGCCTCTAATTTCATTTTCATCCAAAAGCTTTAATGGAAGGCCCACAGATTCCCTCTTCAAGTAACAGCAAAGCGCATCTCCTTTAAGATTTCTTTGATCATCTTCATAAAGCTTGACTTTGAAGTCTTCTGAGGATTTCTCCTGGAGGCAAACCAGATATATAGACATTTGTATTTCTGTCTTCTTCAACATGAAATTATCCTCATTCCATTTTTCTTTTATCTCCCCTGTTTTTAGGATCAGTGGGTTTGGGGGGTTTTCTTTGCAGAAATTCTGCATTCCTAGCATTGACATTTTGTACATTTGCAGGAGAGCTAGATGCCCCACCATTAGAAAAGCCACACTTGGCTGGGTATGTAGCAATGAAACCTTCAGTGGCCTTGGGAAACCACGCCTTCTTGTCCAGATCCCACTCATTGTGGGAGTCAGTTGGCTGCTGCCCTAAATAACCCGTTTGTCACTGAGATCTTCTTGTCTGTTGCAGTCCTTAGTGTCTCCATATAATTTATGCATTCACAACTGCTCATCAAGTCATCATTATCATCCACTTCATGTTTCCTACCTAGCCAGGGGCAGGGTTCAGGTAATCAAAGAGGCTGCTCTGCTGGGCCTGCAAGGCTCCACCAAGTGTGTCTGAGGTGACAGCCCAAGCACTGTTATAAATATTTGCGCACTGTTGTAAACATTTGCATTAGTCCCTTCTCGCACTGCTATAAAGAAATACCTGAAACTGGGTAACTTATAAAGAAAAGAGGTTGCCGGGCGCGGTGGCTCATGCCTGTAGTCCCAGCACTTTGGGTGGCTGAGGCAGGTGGATCACTTGAGGTCAGGAGTTTGAGACCAGCCTGGCCAATATGGTGAAACCCCGTTTCTACTAAGAATACAAAAATTAGCCGGGCATGGTGGCCAGCACCTGTAATCCCAGCTACTTGGGAGGCTGAAGCAGGAGAATCACTTGATCCGGGGAGGCAGAGGTTGCAGTGAGCCAAGATCATGCCACTGCACTCCAGCCTGGGTGACAGAGCAAGACTCCGTCTCGGAAAAAAAGAAAAGAAAAGATGTTTGCTGGGCACAGTGGCTCATGCTTGTAATCCTAGCAGCACTTTGGGAGGCTGAGGCCGGAGGGTTAATCACTTGAGCTCAAGAGTTTGAGACCAGCCTGGGCAACATGGCAAAAACCCGTCTCTATAAAAAATTCAAAACTTAGCTGGGTATGGTGGCATGTGCTTGTGGTTCTAGCTACTTGGGGAGCTGAGGTGGGAGAATTGCTTCAGACCAGAAGGTAGAGGCTACAGTGAGCTGTGATTGCGCCACTGCCTGGGCGACAGAGCAAGACCCTATCTCAAAAAAAAAAAGAGGTTTAATTGGCTCATGGTTCTGTGGGCTGTACAGGAAGCATGATGCTGGCATCTGCTTGCCTTCTGGGGAGGTCTCCAGAAACTTACAATTATGGCAGAAGGCAAAGGAGGAGCGAGCCTTCTCACATGGCAGGAGCCGAGAGAGAGGGAGGAGGTGCGGCACACTTTTAAACAACCAGAGCTTGCCAGAACTCTCTATCATGAGAACAGCACCAGGAGGATGGTGCTAAACCATTCGTGAGAATCCACTCCCATAATCCAACCACCTCTCACCAGGCTCCACCTCCAACACTGGGACTACATGAGATTTGGTGGGGACACAGATCCAAACCATATCAACATTTAACACATTGCATCTTTGAATTGTCACAGCAACCCTGTGAGGTGGGTACTAGTGTTATCCCCATTTTACAGAGAGGAAATTGATGCCCAGAGACCTTGCCAAGGTTATAGACAGGACAGTTAGTGCATGACAAAGCTGGAATTGGAATGCAGCCAGTTCTGCTTTAGAAGCCACTTTCTTGCCTGCCTTTCTTTCTTTATTTCTTTATCTTTTCTTTCTTTCTCTCTCTCTCCTTCCTTCCTTCCTTCCTTTTCTTTCTTTTCTTTTCTTTTTTTTTTTTTTTTTGAGACAGGGTCTGGCTTTGTTGCTCAGGCTGGAGTGTGGTGGCACCATCTTGGCTCACTGCAACCTCCACCTTCTGGGCTCAAGTCATCCTCCTACCTAAGCTTCCCAAGTAGCTGGGATTACAGGTGCATACCACCACACCTGGCTAATGTTTGTATTTTTTTTAGTAGAGATGGGGTTTCACCATGTTTGCTAGGCTGGTCTTGTACTCCTGGCCTCCCAAAGTGCTGGGATTAGAGGCGTGAGCTATTGCACCCCGCCTGAAGCTACATTCTTTTTTTTTTTTTTTTTAATGAGACGAGTCTTGCTCTGTCCCCCAGGCTGGAGTGGTGCAGTGGCGTGATCTTGGCTCACTGGAACCTCCGCCTCCCGGGTTCAAGCAATTCTCCTGCCTCAGCCTCTCGAGTAGCTGGGATTACAGGCACCTGCCACCACTCCTGGCTGTTTTTTCTATTTTTAATAGAGACGGGGCTTCACCATATTGGCCATGCTGGTCTCAAACTCCTGACCTCAAGCGATCCGCCTGCCTTGGCCTTCCAAAGTGCTGGGATACAGGCATAAGCCATCGTGCCTGGCCAAGGCTACATTCTTAAACGCCACTTTTTACAGCTTCCAAGAAACTAACTGGGTGAAATCCAGCCTGCCTCCTGTCCTTGTTTTTATCATTTCATAGTGAAAACATAAACTCCCAAGCCCACCTACTCTATTGCACTGTGTCTCCATGACACTCTGTACCTTCTGGCTCTGACTCAGCCCTCCACTTTCCCCCTCCCTAACCTGCCTGTGCCCTCTAATAAACTGCAGCCCCCCTCATACCCTTAGCTTCTCCTTGGAGCATTCCCTCCACTTCCTGGCGTTAAGTGAAATTTAACTCTCCCTTGAGGGCACTACCTCCTTTGCAGGCTTCTGAAATGAGAGCTGTTGATTTTCTTACAGCTGAGGGTGCTCTCCTGGCTTCAGATTGCTGCCTCCGGACTACTCCTCCCCCAGCCCCCAACTCTAGTTTAAAATAACCCGCGGCCTTCCAGGCACTGCAATTAGGCTAAACTTTCCTCTTCCTTTCTCACTGCTACTGTCTGCCAGACCCCTCCACCTCACTCAGGGGAACGCTGGCCCAGCTGACCGTCTGTCTTTGCATTGAGTCCTCCCTCTGGGAGACTTCATTGTCCACCTGGAGGATCCATTCCCTACTTGACCTCTCAATAACCTGGCCACTTAATCCCCAAGAATCTTCTCCTCTCCAACTCGGCCACACATTCTCATTGTCATACCCTGGACCTTATCACCTGAAAGAGCCCCTCCTTGAGAATCAGTCAAGCAGCCTGCTCTTGGCCCCCACCTCCTAACCGTCTGTCCATCAGTCTGTCTGCCCTCCTCGCAACCAATTTTCAGTCTCCTAGGACCTTTGGATCAATGATGCCTTCCGTCTTCCAGCTTATGAGCCCCTCCCTATTCAGCTCAACTCCACAACCCTTCATTTCAACACCTCTCTGGACAATATCGCCAACTCCCCTTCCCCTCTGTATTTTCATCCTTTGTACCCAAGTGGCAAAACCCCAACCCTGGATGAGCCCAGTGATCTGTTTTCTTCAGGATTTTACTCTGATAGCCAAGAACTGTTGGTGGTGGTGGGGGAAATCACACAATCAGGAAATGGTTCCCACTCCTCACTCATGATCATGAACTCTAAGGAGGCTCCCAGAATTGTTTAGTGGCCCAACCACATCACTCTGGTCAATGGCTACGTTAAACCTCCCTGATCCTTGAACCTCTGAGGCTCTTCTGTCTCTCACCTCATGCTCACTTGATGACCTCCCTCTTATGTCACAGAGAAAATGAAAGTCATCAGAGGTGAGCTCCCTCAACCATCTGTCACCAGATCCACACCCCTCCAAGAGGAACACAATGCATGCAGCGCATGTACCTTGATTTGATCCTGATTTGAAATATATGCATAGGCTGGATGCAGTGGCTCACGCCTGTAATTCCAGCACTTTGCTTGAGCTCAGGAGTTCAAGGCAGGTGGATTACTTAAGCTCAGGAGTTCAAGACCCACCTGGGCAACAGAGAAAAACCCTGTCTCTACAAAAAAAAAAAATACAAAAATTAGTCAGGTGTGGTGGGTCACACCTAAATAGTAGTTCCAGCTACTTAGGAGGCTGAGGTGGGAGGATCACTTGAGCCTGGGAGGTGGAGGTTGTAGTGAGCTGTGATTGCACTGCTGCACTCTAGCCTGGGTGACAGTGAGACCCAGTCAAAAAAGAAAGAAGGAAAGGGAGGAGAGAGAGAAAGGAAGGAAGGAAGGAAAAACAGAAGAAAGGAAGGAAAGAAATTAAAAAGAAAGATATATATATATAAATATATATATAAAAGACATTTTGAGGCTAACTGGGGAATATTTGAGTATATTCTGCTATCAGATGAAGTGAAGAAATGATCGTTATTTTCTAATTTTGTTTTTTTTTTTGAGACTGAGTCTTGCTCTGTCACCAGGCTGGAGGTCAGTGGCGCAATCTCAGCTCACTGCAACCTGTCCCTACTGGGTTCAAGCAATTCTCCTGCCTCAGCCTCCCAAGTAGCTGGGATTATAGGTATGCACCACCACGCCCGGCTAATTTTTGTATTTTTAGTAGAGACGGGGTTTCACCATATTGGCCAGGATGGTCTCAATCTGTTGACCTTGTGATCCTCCTGCCTCAGCCTCCCAAAATGCTGGGATTACAGGTGTGAGCCACCGTGCCTGGCCATGATCATTATTTTCTTAGCTGTGATTACGTATTGTGGTTATGGAATCTCCTTATTTTTGGGAGATGCATGCTGAGGTACTTAGGTGTGAAGCACATGCTTTCCTATATTTTCATATGGTCCAAGAATGTTTTAGTAGTCACTCAACAATTTCTATGTTTAAAAAAAAAAAAAAAGGGCTGGGCACAGTGGCTCATGCCCGTAATCAATCCGAGCACTTTGGGAGGCTGAGGCAGGCGGATCACCTGAGGTCGGAAGTTCAAGACCAGCCTGACCAACATGGAGAAACCCCATCTATAGTAAAAATACAAAATTAGCTTGGCGTGGTGGCGCATGCCTGTAATCACAGCTACTCGGGAGTCTGAGGCAGGAGAATTGCTTGAACCCAGTAGGCGGAGGTTGCGTACAGCCGAGATCGCGCCATTGCACTCCAGCTTGGGCAACAAGAGCGAAATTCCATCTCAAAACAAAAAACTAAAAACAAGCCCACAAAGACGTATATAGGCCTTGGCACTGTGGCTCATGTCTGTAATCCCAGAACTTTGGGAGGCCAAAGCAAGAGGATCACCTGAGTCCAGTTTGAGACCAGCTGGGCAACAAGGCGATACCTTGTCTCTACAAAAAATTTAAAAATTAGCCGGGCATGGTGCCATGCACCTGTGGCCCCAGTTACTTGAGAGGCTGAGGTGGGAGGATCGCTTGAGCCCAAAAGTTTGAAGCTGAGATGAGCTATGATCAGGTCACTGCACTCCACCCTGTGCGATGAAGTGAGACCCTGTCTTGGAAAAAAAAAAAAAAGAACCATATATATATGTGTGTGTATATATATATGTTTGTATATATATAATATATAAATATTTGTATATATGTATAAATAACAATTGTTAAATCTAAGTAAAATGATCGACATACAAACAATATTGTATTATATTTTCAAGTTTTCTGTATGTTTGAAATTTTTCATAATAAAAAAACTGGGCAAAATTCTCTCACTTCCACTCACTGCTCGACCCTTTCAGGCTGGTGTTTATCTCTACCTTGCTGCTACTCAAATGTTTTTTTGCAATGAACTTTATGTCATTAAGTCCATTGTTTCGTTTTCTTCTTACTTGAACTGCCACTAGTAGCTGACGTTGCTGGCCAGTTCTTTCTTGAAACACTGTCGTTTTTTGGCCTCCAGGATTTGGCCTCTTCTGGCTTCCTCCCATCCCTCCATCGGCTGCTCTTCCACCCCTCAGCCGGCTCACTCCGCCTTTGACTGAAATCACCTGGTCATATTGGAGTTCATCAAGAGAGGTCGGTCCTGGACCCTCCTCTTCTTATGCTACCCTTTCCTTCTAGGGGATCACACCTGTCCTGTGGCTTCAGTTCCCATCAGCTGGTTACTCTCAAATTTATCTCTTGCCTCAAATCTCCAGATTTGACCACCTTCCTGCCTGGCATCCCTACTTGGATGTCCCAAAGGTATTACTAACTTAGCTTTTTTTTTTTTTTTTTTGGGAGACAGAGTTTCGCTCTTGTTGGCCAGGCTGGGGTGCAGTGGCAAGACCTTGGCTCACTGCAACCTCCGCCTCCTGGGTTCAAGTGATTCTCCTACCTCAGCCTCCGGAGTAGCTGGGATTACAGGCATCCGCCACGACACCCGGCAAACTTTTTGTATTTTCAGTAGAGATGGGGTTTCACCATGTTGGCCAGGCTGGTCTCAAACTCCTGACCTCAGGTGATCCACCTGCCTCAGCTTCCCAAAGTGCTGGGATTACAGGCATGAGCCACGGTGCCCAGCTTAACTTAGCATATTTGAAACAGAAGTCATGATCTTCCCACAGAAGCAGTATCATCCTCAGATCTGAACCACAGGGGCCCTGCCCTGGCCCACATACTTTAGGGGGATTCACCTATCACAAACAACTTATCACACACATTTATTACATGACACCTGGGCACCTCTGTCACTGATCTGCTGTCAGTGCTGGAACAGCACAACCTGAAATCTTACACATCTGCTCTTGTAATCAACGCCGTTCAAGCCCTGGGGAATGGTGACTTCTGTAATCTCTTGCCCTGTATCCTGGAAACAAAAGATGACTATAGCCAATTCTGTGAAAATCTGAGGTTGTGCCTCTGCCTGGATTCTGAAGCATGTACTGCTTTGGAGTGTAGGGAGGATTTAAGCAGTGGAAACATGTAAGTGAAATCACTTTAACCAGCTTGTTAAATATTACCTCTCAAATAGCATGACAAAGTATCATTTCCCAATAGTGTTGAGTGTGGTTTTTCTTGTTTCTCTTTGTTTTAGAGGTATGGATGTATGTTGTGCTGCATTTACAACAGTTGCAAAGGATAGCTGAGGAACATGTTGCTGTATTAAACAATCCTTATTACTGTTAAATTTATATGCATGTGGTGGGAGGGGTGGTGAGGGATAAAAAACTACACATTTACAGTGTACACTCCTCCTGTGATGGGGGCACCAAAATCTCAGAAATCACCACTAAATAACTTATTCATGTAACTGAACACCACCTGTTCCCCAAAAGCCTATTGAAAAAAAAATTGAATACATGTAGGTCTAGATATAACTCTTGTGAAGTATGATATTGATTCTCTATGTTGTAATAGATGGACATTGAATACGAGATTATGAATACAATCATCCTCAGTATTCACCAGGGATTGATTCCAAAACCCCCACTGATGTTCAAACCCCTTGTATAACATGGCATAGTATTTGCATATAACCTATGCACATTCTTCCACATACTTTAAATCATCCCTAGGTTATCTATGGTGCCTATCGCAATGTAAATGCTGTATAAATATATGTTATACTGTATTTTTTATTTGTATTATTTTTTCTTTCTTTCCTTCCTTCCTTCCCTTCCCTTCCTTCCTTCCTTCCTTCCTTCCTTCCTTTCTTTCTTTCTGACAGTCTTGCTGTGTCACCCAGGCTGGAGTGCTATGGCAGGATATCAGCTCACTGCAAACTCTGCCTCCCAGGTTCACGCCATTCTCCTACCTCAGCCTTCCAAGTAGCTGGGATTACAGGTGCCCGCCACCATGCCCGGCTAATTTTTTTGCATTTTTAGTAGAGATGGGGTTTCACCGCGTTAGCCAGGATGGTCTTGATCTCCTGACTTTGTGATCCACCCGCCTTGACCTCCCAAAGTGCTGGGATTACAGGCGTGAGCCACCGCGCCCGGACTGGCCATATATATTTTAAAAATATTTTTATTCTTCAGTTGGTTGAATCCATAGGTGTGGACCTACAGATACAAAATGCCAACTGTAGTTTAATTTTTATAAAACTATCTGTCTTAGTCCATTCAGACTGCTATAACAAAATACCTTACACTGAGCAATTTATAAATAATAAACACTGCTTACAGTTCTGGAGGCTAGAATGTCCAAGCAGGTGGTGCCAGCAGATTTGGTAGCCAGTGAGGGCACACTTTGCTTCATAGATGGCGCCTTCTTGCTGCATCTTCACGGGTGGAAGGGGCAAACAAGCTCCTTTGGGCCTCTTTTTTTTAAGACAGGGTCTCGCTGTGTCACCTAGGCTAGAGTGCAGTGGCGTGATCTCGGTTTACTGCAAGCTCTGCCTCCAGGGTTCAAGTGATTCTCTTGCCTCAGCCTCCTGAATAGCTGGGATTACAAATGCCTGCCACCATGACTGGCTAATTTTTGTGTTTTTAGTAGAGATGGGGTTTCTCCATGTTGACCAGGCTTGTCTTGAACTACCGACCTCAAATGATTAGCCCGCCTGAGCCTCCCAAAGTGCTAGGATTACAGGCATGAGCCACCGCACCCAGCCTGGGCTTCTTTTATAACGGCATTAATCCCATTCATGAGGACAGGCCCCTCATGACCTAATCACCTTCTAAAGGCCCCATCTCTTAATATCACCACATTGGGGATTAGGTTTCAATTTATGAATTTTAGGGGGGCACAAACATTTATGCCATAGCAATACATAATAAAAATTAATAAATATGTATATATTTTTTTGAGACAGGGTCTCACTCTGTCACCAGGCTGGAGTGCAGTGGCACAATCATGGCTCACTACAGCCTCAACCTCCCAGGCTCAGGCAATCCTTCTACCTCAGCCTCCAGAGTAGCTGAGGCCACATATGTGTGCCACCATGCCCGGCTAAGTTTTCTATTTTTTGTAGAGATGGCATTTCACCATGTTGCCCAGGGGGGTCTCAAAACACTGGGCTCAAGCAGTCTGCCCACCTTGACCTCCCAAAACACTGGGATTTCAGGTGTGAGCTACTGGGCCCAGCCCAAAATTTCAAAAAAAAGCAGGCAAAAAGTCAGCTTTATCTAAATGTGTTTGATTTAAAATATTGATGTGTATTCATTATCATTTATATTTTGTCCAGATGCCGTGTCTCATGGCTGAGATTCCAGCACTTTGGGAGGCTGAGGTGGGAGGATCACTCGAGCTCAGAAATTTGAGACCAGCCTGGACAACATAGTGAGACCATCTCTCTACAAAAACTAAAAAAATTAGCTGGGTGCGATGGCTCATGCCTGTAATCCCAGCACTTTGGGAGGCCAAGGCGGGTGGATCACTTGAGGTCAGGAGTTCGAGACCAGCCTGGCCAACATGGTTAAACCCCACGTCTACTAAAAATACAAAAAATTAGCAGAAGAATGCTTGAACCCATATGTATACATGTATATATACATATGTGTATGTGTATGTTTATATATATATGTATATGATACAAAATTAGCCAGGTGTGGCAGCACACACCTGTAGTCCCAGCTATTTGGGAGGCTGAGATGGGAGGATCATTTGGACCTGGGAGGTCAAAGCTGCAGTGAACTGGGATCATGGCACTGTACTCCAGCCTGGGTGACAACGTGAGATCCTGCCAAAAAAAAAAAGGAAAAATAAAAAGAGTGATTTTACAGAAAAATTGAGATTTTCAATTTATCACGGCAGTGCCAGCTCTGAATTCCTATGCTGCAACGCTGGACCAGGAGCTGCTGCCCCTCTAGGAGGGGAGGGTGCCCTCCAGCCTGTTATAGCCTTCCCTTGGCACTTGGCACATTACTTGCCTGGCCCTTACAGGAATTTGAGGTGCAAATTGATCTAGATCATTGAAGGAAGAGTCTGGGTCTTCTCAGTTTTGGGGCACTTTCGTTGCCAAGTAAGGTTCTTATGAGATTTTTAGAAGTTGAGATTAAAAAAGAGTTTATATGCAGCTGGAGGTGATACCTAACAACAACCATAATAACAGCATCAACAACAAAAACAGTAGCCTAGAGCAGTTACTCTAAGCCAGGTAAGTGTTCTAAAGCACTTCACACAACTTATTTACTCTCACGACAATGCTATTAGGTAGCACTTTGAATATACACATTTTGTAGGTGAGGAAATTGGGGCATGTAGCTGTTAAGATTTATATCAGCCGGGCGTGGTCACTCATGCCTGTTCCCAGCACTTTGGGAGGCCAAAGCGGGCGGATCACGAGGTCAGGAGTTTGAGACCAGCCTGACCAACATGGTGAAACCCCGTCTCTACTAAAAATACAAAAATTAGCTGGACATGGTGGCGGCTGCCTGTGATCCCAGCTATTCAGGAGGCTGAGGCAGGAGAATCGCTTTAATCTGGGAGGCGGAGGTTGCAGTGAGCTGAGATCATGCCACTGCGCTCCAGCCTGAGTGACAGTGAGACTCTGTCTCAAAAAAAAAAAAAAAAAAAAGATTTATACCAATTTATACCGTCCAATAGGAGGCGTGAGACTCAACACAGGGCGGAGGAGAGAATAGGTCAGGAAATCACATCTCTCCACCTGCACAGCCACCATCATTGTACCCTTCTAAAGAGACTGGCAACAACTTTCATTCAGCACTGTCCCATTGATTGGCTCATTTCATGATCACAGCAACCCAGTTAAGCAAATCCTCACCTTTGCATCGCCTGCTTTGTATCACTTTTCTTTAAAATTAAAAATAAAAAAAATGGATTACAAATTGGGTTAACGCCCATCCCATTTCTCTCCTTCCTTGTAGTAATTATCATTCTAAAGTTGTTGGGAATTATTCCCATGCGTACTTTGCACTTTTAAAAAATGTTTGCTTTCCTAAACATATACCACTGTTTTGTGTATTTTAAAACTCACACAAATAATATCATACAACATCCATTTTTGCAAGTTTCTTACTCATTACATTGCTAAATATGTCTATAATTCATTTAACTGCCGTATAGTATCCCATTATAAGAACAAACCATACTTTATTTATCCATTTTACTTAACAACAGTTAGCTTATTTCCACTTCTTCTTGACAATTAACTGATACTGCAATGACCATTTTTATCCTCGCCTTTTTGTGCATGTGTAGAAATGTTTTTCTAAGGAATAGATCTAGAAGCAAGATTGCTGGGTCATAGGGAATATTCATTTTCAGCATTAACTGGTGCCAAAATTCTCTTCAAATTTGTTGTATCTGTTTACACTTCAACACAAAATATATGCATTCCTATTGTCCCACATTTTTGTCAACAGTGTTAGAATAATTTTAATTTTGGTGATTTTGTGGGTGTAAAATGGTAACTCGCGCTGTGATTTGCATTTCTACATTACTGGTTAAATTGAGCATCTTTTCTTATGTTTATTGACCATTAGGTTTCTCTTTTGTGACTCACCTATTCACAGCTTTTGCTCATATTCTCTTGCGTTGTCCTTTTCATATGGATCTGCAACTTCTTTATGAATCCTGGATATAATCCTTTGTTGTTTATGTAGATTGTGAATATTCTCTAAGTCTGTGGCTTGTCTTTTACTTTACGTGATTTCTTTTTTTTTTTTTTTTGAGACGGAATCCTGCTCTGTCGCCCAGGCTGGAGTGCAGTGGCACAATCTCGGCTCGCTGCAAGCTCCGCCTCATGGGTTCACGCCATTCTCCTACCTAAGCCTCCCGAGTAGCTGGGACTACAGGCACCCACTACCACGTCCAGCTAATTTTTTTGTATTTTTGGTAGAGACGGGGTTTCACCATGTTGGCCAGGATGGTCTCAATCTCCTGACCTTGTGATCCACCCGCCTTGGCCTCCCAAAGTGCTGGGATTACAGGCTTGAGCCATCGCGCCCGGCCTATGTGATTTCTTATAAAAGCTTAAAAATGTTTTAACGTGGTCATATGTATCAATATTTTCCTTTATTGCTTGTGCATTTATTTATAGTCGACAAATAAAAATTGTATCTATGGTGTAACAACATGATGTGTGTATATATATGTGTGTGTGTGTGTGTGTGTGTAATGGCTAGAGTAATTACTGTATCTGTTATCTCACATACTATCATTTTAAACGTGATATTTGAAATGTACTCTCCTAGCAATTATTTTTATTTTTATTTTTTTTTTTGAGACAGGATCTTGCTCTGTCGCCCAGGCTAGAGTGCAGTGGCAAGATTATAGCTCACTGCAGCCTGGACCTCCCAGGCTCAAGTGATTTTCTCTTCTCAGCCTCCCAAGTAGCTGGGACTACTGGCACGTGCCACCACATCCTGCTAATTTTTTCAATTTTTTGTAGAGACAGGGTCTCACTATGTTACCTAGGCTAGTCTTGAATTCTTGGGGTCAAGCAATCAAGCAATCGGCATCCCGAAATGCTAGGATTACAGGCATGAGCCACTGCGCCCAGCTAATTTTTGTATTTTTTTTAGAGATGGGGTCTCACCATGTTGCCCAAGCTGGTGTCGAACTGGTCTCAAGCGATCCACCCACCTCAGCCTCCCAAAGTGCTGGGTTTACAGACATAAGCCACTGCAGCTGGCCAGCAATTTTCAAGTATACAATACATTGTTATTAACTCTAGTCATCATGTTATACAATAGATCTCCTGAATTTATTCTACCTAACTGAAATTTTGTATCCTTTGACTAAAGCTCTCCAATCCCTGCCCACACCCGCCCCCCGCCCCCTAGCCCCTGTGCAGCCACCATTCTATTCTCTGCTTCTGCAATTTTATTTTATTTATTTATTTTTTTAAATTTATTTTGAGACAGGGTCTCACTCTGTTGTCTGGGTTGGAGTCCAGAGGTCTGATCACAGCTCACTGCAGCCTCAAACTCTTGGATTCAAGAGATCCTCCTGCCTCAGCCTCCCGAGTAGTTGGGACTACAGGCACGTGCCACCATGCCTGGCTGAGTTTGACTCTTTAGGTTCCACATGTAAATGAAATCATGGTATTTGTCTTTCTGTGCCTGGTTTATTTCATTTAGCATAATATCCTCTAGTTTTATCCATGTTGTCACAGATGACAGAATTTCCTTCTTTTTAAAGACTGAATAGTATTCCATTGTGTATATGTTCCATAATCTCTCTATTTATTCATTGATGGACACTTAGGTTGTTTCCATGTCTTGGCTATTGTGAATAATGGTGCAGTGAACTTGGGAATACAGATATCTCTTCAACATACTGAGTTCATTTCTTTCGAAATATACCTGATAATGGAACTACTGGATCACATGGTAGTTTTAATTTTTTGAGGAAGCTCCATTCTGTTTTCCAAAATAGGTGTACAAATTTACATTCCTACCAACAGTTTGTGAGGGTTCCTTTTTCTCCACATCCTTGCCACCACTTGTAATCTCTTGGTTTATTTTTATTTTTTTTATCAGAGCCATCTTAGCAGGTATGAGGTGATATCTCACTGTGGTTTAAATGTTCATTTCCTTGATAATTAGCAATATTGAGCATTTGTTTTTCATATACCTGTTGGCCATTTATGTGTCTTCTTTTGAGAAATGTTTTTTCAGATCATTTGCCCATTGTAAAATCAGATTTTTGGCTGGATGCAGTGGCTTATGTTTGTAATTCCAGCACTTTGGGAGGCCAAGGCAGGAGGATCACTTGAGCCTAGGAGTTCAAGATAAATCTGGGCAACATAGGGAAACCCTGTCTCTACAAAAAAATTTTAAAAATTAGCAGGGCACGGTGGGGTGTGCCTGTGGTCCCAGCTACTTGGGAAGCTGAGGTGGGAGGATTGCTTGAGCCTGGGAGTTGAAGGCTGCAGTGAGTTATTATTGCGGCACTGTATTCCAGCCTGAGCAACAGGGTGAGACCCCAACTTAAAGAAAAAAAATCAGATTTTTGGTTTTCAACAACTCTTGCTATTAAGTTTCTTATAAAAATATTCACCCCTTATCAGATGTATAGTTTACAAATATTTTGTCCCTTTCCGTAGGTTGTCTGTTGATTGTTTCCTTTGCTGTTCAGAAGCTTTCATTTGATGCAATCTCATTTGTCCAAAAAAATTATTGCCCAGACCAATGTCAAGAAGCCAAGATCATGCCACTGCACTCCAGCCCAGCAACAGAGCGAGACTCCATCTCAAAAAAAAGATCTGAAATTGTAAAAATACTAGAAGAAAATATAGGAGAAAAGCAATTCTCCTGCCTCAGCCTCCTGAGTGGCTGGGACTACAGGTGTGCACCACCACACCCAGCTGATTTTTGTATTTTTAGTAGAGATGGGGCTTCACCATGTTGGCCAGGATGGTCTCAATCTCTTGATCTTATGATCCACCTGCCTTGGCCTCCCAAAGTGCTGGGATTATAGGTGTAAGCCACCGCACCCCGCCATTTCAGATCTTATGTTTAAGTCTTTAATTCATTTTGAGTAGTTTTTTTTTTTTTTTTTTTTTTTTTGGAGGCAGTCTCTCTCTGTTCTTCAGGCTGGAGTGCAGTGGTGTGGTCTTGGCAACCTCTGCCTCCCAGATTCAAGTAATTCTTGTGCCTTAGCCTCCTGAGTAGCTGGGACTATAGGTGTGTGCCACCACCCCTGGCTAATTTTTGTGTTTTTGGTAGGTTTCACCATGTTGGCCAGGCTGGTTTCGAACTCCTGGCCTCAAGTAACCCATTGGCCTTAGCCTCCCAAAGTGCTGGGATTACAGATGTGAGCCACTATGCCTGGCCTGAGTTGATTTTTGTATATGAGGTGAGATATGGTCAAATTTTATTCTTCTACATGTGGATATCCAGTTTCCCCAGGACTGTTTATTGAGGAGACTGTCCTTTCCCCATTGTATGTTCTTGGCATATTTGTAAAGGATCAGTTGGCCATAAAATGTGTGGATTTATTTTTGGCCTCTATTCTGGTCTTATATGTCTGTTTTTGTTCCAGAACCATGCTGTTTTTATTACTATAGCTTTGTGGCAGCTTCTGAAATTAGGTAGTGTGATGGCTCTAGCTTTGTTCCTTTTGTTCAAGATTGCTTTGGCCATTTTGGTCCTTGTCTTTTGTGGTTCCATATGAATCTTAGGATTTTTTTTCTATTTCTGTGAAAATGTCATTGGAATTTTGATAGAGGTTGGATGGAATCTACAGTTTGGGGTAGTGTGGACATTTTAACAATATTAATCTTTCCAATCCATTAACATGGAATATCTTTCCATTTATTTGTGTCTTTAATTTCTTTCTTCAATGCTTTATGGTTTTCAGTGTACAGATTTCTCACCTCTTTGATTAAATTTATTCCTAAGTATATATTTTTGATGCTATTATAAATGTGATTGCTTTCTTGATTTCTTTTTTGGTTGGTGCATTATTAGTATACAGTAATGCTACTGACTTTTGAATATTGATTTTGTATCCTGCAACTTTACTGAATTTATTAGTTCTAATAGTTTTTTTGGTGGTATCTTTAGGGATTTCTCTATATAAGATCATGTCATCTACAAAGTGACAATTTAACTTCTTTCTTTCCAATTTGGATGCCTAGGGAGCATCAGTGGCTCAAGCCAGCTGTCCTGGTGCACAGGGAGGCGAGGCTATGAGTTCGAGGCCAACCTGGTCAACATTGACCAATTTGGATGTCTTGTATTTCTTTCTCTTGCCTATCTGTTCTGACTAGAACTTCTAGTACTATATTGAATAGAAATGGTGAGAATGGTTATCCTTGTCTTGTTCCTGATCTTAGAGGAAAATCTTTTAACTTTTCATGATTATGTATGATGTTAGCTGTGGGTTTGTCATATATGGGCTTTATTGTGTTGAGATACACTTTTTCTATACCTAATTTGCTAAGAATTTGTATCATGAAAGGATGTTAAATTTTGTCAAACGCCTTTCCCCCATCTATTGATATAATCATATAGTGTTCTTCATTTTGTTAACTGCTTGTACTTTTGTACTTTTAAAATTTTGTATAAGAAATCCTTCTCTATTCTGATATCATCAATATGTGATCTTATATTTTCTTTGAATAGTTTTCAGTTTTGCTTTTTACTCTAGCTACCTGAAATTTACTTCTGGGTAGGATGTAATGTAGAATTTATTTTTTGTGTGTTTGTTTGGATAGCCAGTTAACTCAAAACCATTGAACTTTCCCACTGATTTATGTCACTTCCATTATAGCCAAGTCTCATATCTTTGAGGGTCTGTATTAGTCCATTCTTGCACTGCTATAGATAAATACCTGAAATCAGGTAATTTATAAAGTTTAATTGGCTCATAGTTCCACAGGCTGTATAGGAAGCATGGCTGGGGAGGCCTCAGGAAACTTACAATCATGGTGGAAGGTGAAAGGGAAGCAGGCATGTCTTACGTGGCTGGAGCAGGAGGAAGAGAGGGAAGAGGTGCCACACGCTTTTTTTTTTTTTTTTTTTTGAGACAGAGTCTTGCTCTGTTACCCAGGCTGGAATGCAGTGGCACAATCTCAGTTCACTGTAACCTCCACCCTCTGGGCTCAAGCGATCCTCCCACCTCAGCCTCCTGAGTAGCTGGGACCACAGGCATGCATCACCATGCTCGGCTACTATTTTTGTATTTTTGTAGAGATGATGTCTCAGCATGTTGTCCAGGCTGGTCTTGACCTCCTGAGCTCAAGTGATCCTCCTGCCTCAGCCTCCCAAAGTGCTGGGATTATAGGCAAGAGCCACTGCACCTGGCCTCCACACACTTTTAAACAACCGGGTCTCATGATAACTTACTATCATGAGAACTGCACCCAGTGGGAAATCCATTTCCATGATCCAATCACCTCCCACCAGACCCCATCTCCAACAAAGGGGATTACAATTCGACATGAGATTTGGAGAGGGAGGGACACAGATCCAAACCCTATTAGGATCTGATTCAAAAAAGTTTTGTTCTGTACTGTGGTCTATTTATGTGTGCATATACCAGGACTAGACTGTTTTAATCACTCTAAGTTTCAACCAGTAAACTTGTGACATATGGTTAGGCAAGGGATCTCATATTCTTCTGCTTCAAGTTTTGTTTTTTCTTGGCCATTTACTCTTCCATAAGAATTTTAAGGCCGGGTGTGGTGGCTCATGCCTATAATCCCAGCACTTGAGGAGGCCGAGGCGGGCAGATCACGAGGTCAGGAATTCAAGACCAGCCTGACCAACATGGTGAAACCCCGTCTGTACTAAAAATACAAAAAAATTAGCCGGGCGTGGTGGTGCGCACCTGTAGTCCCAGCTACTCAGGAGGCTGAGCCAGGAGAATCACTTGAACCTGGGAGGTGGAGCTTGCAGTGAGCCGAGATCGCGCCATTGCATTCCAGCCTCGGTAACAGAGTGAGACTCCGTCTCAAAAAAAAAAAGAATTTTAAGAACAGTCTGTCAAGTTCCATAAAATATCTGATTGGAGTTTTGCTTAGAATTGTACTGAATTTTTAGATTTGAGAAAAATTATCAGCTTTATATCAAACTTCCGTCTTTGTGAGTAGGGGATCTCTTCCTATTCTTTTATATCTTCTTTATGTTCTCTAATAAAACTTTATAATTTTCTCCATAAATATCATACACAGACTTTGTTATATTTATTCCTAAGTATCTTATGATTTTTGTTATGACAAATGGTATTTTCTTTTCTTTTTTTTTTTTTTTGAGACGGAGTCTCGCTCTGTCGCCCAGGCTGGAGTGCAGTGGCGCAATCTCGGCTCACTGCAAGCTCCGCCTACTGAGTTCACGCCATTCTCCTTCCTCAACCTCCCCAGTTGCTGGGACTACAGGTGCCTGCCAACTCGCCCAGCTAATTTTTTGTATTTTTAGTAGAGACGGGGTTTCACTGTATTAGCCAGGACGGTCTCGATCTGCTGACCTCATGATCCGCCTGCCTTGGCCTCCGGAAGAGCTGGGATTACAGGCGTGAGCCACGATGCCTGGCCTAAAATGAAATCTTTTATCTGTTTATTGCTGTGGTGTAAGGATATTGATGTTTGTGTATTCTCCTTGCCCCCGGCAAGGAAATTGTTATTTCTAATAGTTGGTAGGTTCTTGTGAATTTTCTTTGTATAGTAAGCAATCTATGTATAGTAATTGTCTATGTATAGTGATGGCTTTATTTCTTCTTTTTCTTCTTGTGTCACTTCAGACTTCTTGGCAGAAAGGTGAATAGAAACAGTAAAAACTGGTATCCTTGTCTTGACTTTGGAAGTTACTTTCTATTCCTAGTTAGCTAGATTAAAAAGATTAAAAAAGAAATAGACAGGTTCTCACTATACAGTGGTTATTCACAGCCTCAATCATAGAGCACTACAGCCTCAAACTCCCAGGTTCAACGAACCTTACCACCTTAGCCTCCCAAGTAGCTGGGACTACAGGCACAAGCCACCACACCTGGCTAATTTTTAAATATTTTGTAGTTCACTACAGCACTATTCACAATAGCAAAGACATGGCGTCAACCCAAATGCCTATCAATGAAAGACTAGATAAAGAAAATGTAGTATGCAGCCAGGCGTGGTGGCTCACACTTGTAATCCCAGCACTTAGGAAGCCTGAGGCAGGTGGATCAGGAGTTCGAGACCAGCCTGACCGACATAGTGAAACCCTGTCTCTACTAAAAATACAAAAAAATTAGCCAGGTGTGGTGGCAAATGCCTGTAATCCTAGCTACTCAGGAGGCTGAGGCAGGAGAATTTCTTGAACCCGGGAGGCAGAGGTTGCAGTGAGCTGAGATTGTGCCAATGCGCTCCAGCCTGGGTGACAGAGTGAGACTCTATCTCAAAAAAAAAAAAAAAAAAAAAAAAATGCCGGGCACGATGGCTCATACCTGTAATCCCAGAACTTTGGGAGGCCGAGGTGGGCAGATCACAAGGTCAGAAGTTCACGACCAGCCTGGCCAACATGGTGAAATCCTGTCTCTACTAAAAATACAAAAATTAACAGGGTGTGGTGGCACTCGCCTATAGTCCCAGCTACTTGGGAGGCTGAGGCAGAAGAATCGCTTGAACCCAGGAGGCAGAGGTTGCAGTGAGCCGAGATTGTGCCACTGCTCTCCAGCCTGGGTGACAGAGCAAGACACCACCTTAAAAAAAAGAAAAAAGAAAATGTAGTATGCGTACACCATGGAATACTATGCAGCCATAAAAGGGAATGAGATCATGTCCTTTACAGGGATGTGGATGGAACTGGAAGCCACTATCTTCAGCAAACTAACACAGGAACAGAAAACCAAACACCACATGTTCTCACTTATAAGTGGGAGCTGAACGATGAAAACACCTGGACACATGTGGGTGGGGGGAACAATAACCCACTGAAGTCTGTCAGAAGGGGAAGTGGCAGGAGGGAGAGCATCAGGAAGAATAGCTAATGGATACCGGGTTTAATACCTAGGTGATGGGTTGACAGGTGCAGCAAACCATCATAGCACATGTTCACCTATGTAACAAACCTGCACATCCTGCACTTGTACTCCGGAACTTAAAATAAAAGTTGAAAAAATATTTTGTAGAGACGAAGTCTCACTATGTTGCCCAGGCTGGTCTTGAACTTCTGAGCTCAAGCAATCCTCTTGCCTTGGCCTCCCAAAATTCTGGGATTTTAGCAGTGAGCCACTGCACCTGGCCTCCAGTTCTGGATCCTGGGTCTTGCGACATTATTCCATGCTGGCTTCTGAAGTCAATGAGGCAAAACCAGAAAGGGGAACTAAAAAGTTAAAGAGGGAGAGGGTCTCACAGGCAAGATGGAGGAAGCCTGGGATGAAGGCAGGGCTGTGGACCTGAATGATGCCAGGAATTAAGGAGGAAGTAACAGTGTTAGGTAATAGCACATGGGATTCTTGGGCTGCAGCTACAGGAGGGAGAATCATGGCCTTAATTCATCACCTCTGAAATCCTGAAATATCTAGCCTCCTGCCCAGATCCTGCCATGAATGCATCTATTCAACCACTATTTATAAAGTATCCAGTGTTAGGTCCAGGGAGTGGCAAGAGTGAGCATCTGCAGTCATAGTCCCTGCCCTCAGGGAGCTTACATTCAATGGGGCAGACAGACATCAGTCTGTACATAATCATCAACAAATGTAGAACTCCAACAGGGCCAAGTGCCTCTGAGGAAAGGTACACCTTAGTGTGAGCGCTCATAACAGGAGAATTTGACCCTGAAAAGAAGGTCAGGAAGGCTTCCCTGAGGCTATTGAGAAGGTGAGGCCTGAAGAATGAAGAGGAGCTAAGAGGAGAGGAACAGAGGAAGGAGCCTTTCCACAGAGGGTCCAGCCTCCCTGGAGACTCTGTGCAGGAGGAAGCACAAGGTGGACAGCAACTGGAGCACACGAGTGAGGGGGTGTGGTGGGAGATGAGGCTGGAGAGGAGGGGCCACCCCTTGCAGGGCCTTAGAGGTCAGGTTAAGGACTTGGGTCTTTAACCTAAGATCAATGGAAAACCACTGAATAGGTTTAAGGAGGCTGACTGAAACAATCAGATTTGCATTTTTAAAGGATCCCTCTTAGGTGTGTGTCATACTGTAGAGAAGGCCATTCCCAGCCTCTTCAGCTACTGCAATGACTCAGAGAAGGCCACATGGTCCACATGGTGGCTAGCCCAGGGATGTGGAGGGATGAAAACGAGTGGACAGACTTGAGATATATTAGAGCAGATAAAATGGATAGGACTAGGTGCTGGATTCAATATTGAGATGCTCATTCTAAACCGCCCCTACATCAAATCCTTCGAAGGCAGGGGCTATGCCACATGACTATGATACCCAGGTCCCAGAACAACTCCTGACACATGGTAGACTCAATACACATTTCCCGAAAGGGTGGAAATGATTAGCAGTCTCTCAAGTAATCCTTTGACCACTAAGCGTATTTAATTTCTTCTAGCATGTGTCAGTAATCAACCTCCTTGGTACATCATAGGGAGAAATATTGCCGAGTTCCAAAGAGTATACTCTGGGGCAAGTTAATACAAGAATAAGGTCTCACTTACCCTATAACATGAAGAGTAACAGTAAACTCGTAAGAACAGGACCTGGTGAAGCAAGGAGTAGGCACAGGAAGATGGCTCATCAAATAGGGGCGCCGGGTGTAGTGTGAACACCTGAGGCAGGAAGAACCCAGTAGCCTCTGGGGGTTGGGTGGGATTAGTTGGGGGACTAGGATTTGATGGTAGGGGGTTGTCCTGGAGATCTCTGGAAATTAAGTTATCTATTTTTTTTCTGTTTTTATTTTTATAAAAGAACTCTTAAGGGCATTTTTTTCTTTGTTTGTTCTGTTTTGAGATAGAGGTTCACTCTGTCGCCCAGGCTGGAGTGCAGTGGCGTGATCTCGGCCACTGCAAACTCCGCCTCCCAGGTTCAAGTGATTCTCATGCCTTAACCTCCTGAGTAGCTGGGATTACAGGCATGGGCCACCACGCCTTGCTAATTTTTGTGTTTTTTGTATAGCCAGGGTTTTGCCAGGTTTGGTCAGGCTGGTCTTGAACTCCTGGCCTCAAGTAATCCACCTACCTTGGCTTCCCACAGTGTTGGAATTACAGCCATGAGCCATCATGCCCAGCCTAAGCTATCACTTTAAAATGACCCTTCAAGAAAGTCCCAAGGAGTCTAATCCATCCACGACAACAGCACGTCTGAGACAGCCTAGTGAAATTTCTCCGATGGAGGACAGGAGATGGAAAAGTGCCCCAGGACCTCTTATTTATATAAAAAACAAAATTTTTTAAGACCCTGAGAAGTATGGATTCTTCTCCAGAGAAAAGTTCCTGGCTTGGGAGCTCCCTTAGGACTTGGCACTTTGGTCTAGAGTGAAGTGGACCTGGCCATTCCAGCTTTGAGTGGGTTCAGGCGAGACACTCGAGCTACCCCTTATGGTTGCTCTGAAGGTCACCCTGGCTGGGAGTGGGTGGATCTCTGCTCTGTTATGCCTCCCACAGGTGGAGGAAGTCTGTCTCTGAGGCTGCCCTGCCACCCTCATAGAGCGCTGCAGATTGGGGGCGGTGATGCAGCCACAGGGGCTCTGATTCCCTGCCTCCCCACTGTGTTCATCTCATTCCTCTCCACATATGAGGCCTGGTGTCATGGCAGGTGGGTGTTCCAAGTGAAACCACAGCCACAGAGGCAAGCAGTAGAGCCTGTCCCTGATGTGGCCCTGGTGATGCTGCACCAGCCTGGGGCTGTATCAGAAACCATGCCTGCAGCCTTTGCTTCTGCAGACTTGCTGGTGCTGCACCAGCCCTGAGCAATGTCCATAGCCCTTGCCTCACTGGTCACTGTGATGGGGACGCCCCCAGGTATGGTTCTGCTGCTGGTGTTGCAGGTTGGAGTGGGGGCCAGCACCCTCATCTACCACAAGAAGGCTTAGGTGGCACAGACGTAAGGCTGCTTGCCTGTGTGTAGAGTGGCAGGCTGCAACGGGCTGGAGCCTTGGGGAGAGGCCCTTGCCACGCTGGTGGCAGTGATTGGGTTCAGGCAGGTGTGTGCCGCAGTGCTGGGCCAGGTGTGAGCTGTGGCAAGAGCTGTGGCCACACTTTCTGCAGGAGTAGGGCCTATCACCTGTGTGAAAGTGTTCGCACAGGGTCAGGTGGGCCCCTTGGCTGAAGTACTTCCTATATTAGGGGGAGGAGAAGGGCCCCTTGCCCAGGCTGTGCTGAGAGAGGTGAGAGCAGTGGGAAGAGACTCCACATTCCAGGCAGGAAATTTGAGTGGATTTGTGGGTGGAGATGGGGGTCCCGGGTAGGGGAGTTGGGGAAGGGTTGGTTGTGACAGCTGGCAGGTAAAGGAGTGCCATAGTAGGTAGAGGGCTGGGTCTGTCCTCTCTTCTCCTCCTCCTCTCCCTTTGCTCCCAGCCTGCAGGGAGAGGGGAGAGAGGTGAGAGCAGCATGGGGGAGGAGGAAGCAGAGGAGACAGAGGTGGGAGAGGAGAGGCTAAGCCCCACACCCAACTGAAGAAGTGGTTGGCGGTTTCAGCGGCACCTCCCTCCTCGCTGAGGTGGACTGTGAAGGTGGAGAAGCCCAGAGCACAGCCTCCTGTGAGCAGCTTCCCAGGGTGTTGAGGGCTGCCAGGCAAGGACAGGGCCCTCAGAGTTAGGCCTTGCCTGGGCAGGGGTCTCCTGGGGGAACCTTCCCTCAGGGCCCTGAGGCTCTGGGCTCCAGAGCTCAGCTTCCGCGTTCAGATACATGGTCTGCTCTGCTTTGGAGACTGAGAAGCCTGAGAGGTAAAATCGTGCTGGGTGGTAGGTAGGGTAAGGGAGAGGGAGCTTCCCCCCATCTCCCTCACCCACTGCAGAAAGGCTTCTCTGTTTCCTTCCCCAGCCCAGTCCCACCTCCTCTGTGAGGCCGCTCCTCACCTCCCTACTGGCCTGCAGTGATCCTCCTGCTTGGGAGTCACAGAGCACCCCTACACGGGCCCTTTGCCATTCTTTATAGTATAAGGCAAGGCCGTAACATTTTGTGGGGCATCTTCTTCAGTGTCCTCAGCCTTGTGTGAACATCAGAAGCACTTGGGGGCTTGGGAAAATGCAATTGCTGGCCCCATCTCCAGTTTCTTAAACAGCAGATCTGGGGTGGGGCCCAAGAATTTGCATTTCTAACAAGTTCCCAGGCGATGCTGATGCTGCTAGTCTGGGATCCACACTGGGAGAGCCACTGATCTGTTAGGCGTGTAACTTTACTTGTATTATCTCTCAATTCTCAGGGCAACCTGTTACTCTCCCCCATTTTGCAGGTGAAGAAACAGAGGGAAGACCCAGTGCCTTGTGCAAGGTGGCTCAGTTTGTAAGTGGCAGAGCCGATTTGAACCCACGTTTGTCTGACTCTAATACTGTATCAACCCTCCTTCCTCTACCCTGTTCCTCTGCATTGTCAACTATTCCACATGTATCTTGTTCCTCAACAAAATAGTAACGTTTTCTTTTGCATACTTTATATCTCTCACCTTGCCTGACCCAGTAACATAGGCTTGGTTGGGAGGGACTGAAGGACTTGGAAAGGAAATGCCCCAGTGGAGCCAGGATGGAAATGGGTTCCTCTGTGTCTCCCACATGGTGTCACCTAAATAAACAGCCATGTCTGTGAGGTTCAGTCATGGGGAGAGGAGGGCAAGAGAGCACTCGCACCAAGCGATGGGGTTAGGGGGACACGAAAGGAAATGTGATAAATAGAGAGGGGGGCGTGTGGGGCGAAGGTGAGGACTGGGGACCCGGGAGGGGGCAGGCTGTTTCAGAGTGAAGGCAGGACGGGCAGCAGAGACAGAGAAGAGGCTGCCGGGTGGTTAGGGCTGGGGAGGACAAGGAGGGTGAGGACAGACGATCCCGGCAGCCCCTGGAGCCAGAAGAGAAGTCAGGTTAACTCCAGACTTTTGGCTTCCACCTCTGTATCTCACCCAACTCCTCCCCACCTGCTTCTCTACCCTGAAACTCCAGGAACAACGCCCACCTGCCTCCCACTACAACTTCCCCTTATACCGTACACGTCCTGGATGCTTGGGGTCCGGGAGGAGGGGAGTCAGGATCACGGGTTCCAGGGAAGTGAGTGTAGAAAGGGGCTCCTACGAGGGTAGAAGTGGGTGTTGTCTGCTTCTGCAGGAAAGGGGCCAGCCAGCCCAACTGGTCCGCAGTACTTGCTGGGGCTGGAGGATGCCCACCTGCATCTACGGGATTGAGGGTACCGGAGAGGAGGCGAACAAACGAGAAATCCCAAGGGTGGAGAAGGGAGCCATGGGATCGGCGGGCGGGCCGCGCAGCTGCGGAACTGGGAGGGCCAAGCGGGCTTTAGGGGGAAACACGGCCGGCTCCTCTGCCAGTGAGACAGAGAACTGAGCATGGGGGAGGAATTTGGGGCCAGAGGGGCTGGGGGTACCCAGAGCAGAGGAAACAGGAAGTGAGGGGCAGAGAGGTTACGGGTGGTGGAAGGAACAGCAGTCGGTTCTGGAGAGGCGATTCCTCTTCCCCGAATACCTGCACTGCCCCGGACCGGGAGTGCAGTCGTGCGCCCCTGTCCCCCCAGCCTCAGGCTTGGTGCCCAGCCCCGCTCGCGGAACTCGAGGCCAGTAAGGCAGCCGCGGCTTTCCTTGATGCCCCCACTCCTCTGCTCTCAGCCGCTGCCTGGACGAGCACAGAACTAGTGTTCCCAGGCGACCCTCCCTCCGCTCAGCCCCGCTGCCCGGCGGGCAAAGGCTGTGCACTCACACTCCGAGTCTGCAGCCCAGCCTGCCCTTTTTTGGGAGGTGGCCCGGGGACTGGGATGTCGAACAGGGAGCTTCTCCGCAGTCCTCTCCACCTCCCTCCCTCTTTCCAGCTATAGAAACCGGCTGCTCGCAGTGACTTCCAAACATCACGGTCATTCCCACATCTACACACATCCCTTTCTCTTTTGAGCCATTTTCCTGCTTTCCCTTTGGTGTTGAAACCCTGGATTTCAGCCTGGGCGACTCAGGTTTTAGGGGGGAAAGTTTGGGGTCTAACTTGGCACCTCTGTTTTTTATCCTCTCTTCCAGCTTCATAGATGGTTCCTATTTTCATACATATTTGCTAATTTGGAGTTTCCGACGACATATCTCGAATAACCCGACATTTTCTCCCCATTTCCAAGGCTGATTTTACATTATTTCTAGGCCTCCCTCCCCAATCTATTTTCCTTTCTTTTTCTTGTACACCCCTGATAAACAGACACACAGAACTGCAGGTTTCAAAGAGGAAAAAAGCACGTTTGTTGTTGGTAGGCGGGCGTGAATGGGAGGGTTCTTCACCTTCTCCAACACCTCGTATAGATGGGACGTTGCAGGGCAATAGAAAAGGCAGCAGATGGGGGCGTGTTTTGCCCCACTCTGTACAATATAGAAGAATCTCATATAGATACTTTGTATAAAAGCCACGTGTCCTCATTTGTGTCCTCTTATTGGCTGGCTGGGCTGGGGGTACTGGGGGACAAAGAAGCTGGGGTGATAGACCAGGACACAGGGATACCCCATGGTCCCCTTCCTCTGGCTGTCCCCTGGTGGGGTCACTTTGGATCCTTGGTGGGAGCATAGCACAGCTCCAGTGGCCGGGACACCTTCCAGAATTTCTCATTCACCAGCTCCAGGGTCAGCGAGCCATTCAACGTCTGAGGAGGGGGTAAAAGGGAGAGAGGGGAAAAGAGAGAGGAAAGTTGGAGAAGATGGAAAAGGAAATGAATGAGAGGCAAAAGGTGACCAAGGGAGGAGGAAAGAAAAAAGGAATAATAAAAGCGATAAGGCAAAAAAGGACATGGATGATGGGAAAGGAGAGGGGACATAGAAAGAGATAGAGGATGTATAGGGGAAGAGTGCTGATGAGTTAGACCAGGCTCATGGTTCTATGTGGCCCAGACCACCCTCCCTCCTCTCCCCTCTTCTACCACTGCCCTCAGAAGCTCTCACCGTGAACGCCCCGCCTCCAGGTGCGATGTAGATGGTGTACTGCTTTTCACTGACGCCCTCCAGGCTGGGCAAAGCAGGCTCCTCAGGACCGTCACCTCCTCCGGCACCCCCACCCTCCCCGCCACACCCATCAGGTCCTCCGGTGTCAGAGGCGCCCCCTCCAGGCCCTCCTGGCTCCCCTGCTTCCTGCTGTTGCCTCCGCTCGAGGGCAATGCGCAGGGCCAAGTACTTGGAGAGGTGGTCCACTGTGGCATTCCCAGTTGTCTTCACATACCTGGAATGGGAGGGAGGACAGGCTTAGAGCCAGAGCGCCTCAGATGAGGACTGGAGGTAGGGGCTTTCCAAAATGGATTCTGGGTTGGGGTGGTATTTTGGGTTTGGGCAAAGCCCACTTCTGATGGAAATCTAGGTGATCTTTGGTTTCTCAGTGGCTGGGGAAAGACAGGGCTCCTCACCTCGTCTGGCAGTATTCTCCCTTCTCCACGAGCAGGGGGTGGGGCCGGAACACGAGCTCAATTTCTCCACCTGGCTCTGGGGGGCTGGGGGCCCCAGGAGGGCTTGGGGGGCCCAGCGTTCCCCCTCCCAGAGTCCCTCCCCGGTCACCAGAGTCTTCCGAACCGGCACCCCCACCCACCCCACCAGTGCCGCCTCCCCCTGTCCCTACACTGCTCCCCCCTGCGCCCCCTCCACGGGGTCGCTTGGGAGCAGGGCCTGGGGCAGAGTCAGGGGCGGAGTCTGAGCTCACATCTTCTCCATCCCCTTCTCCCTCCCCGGGCTCTCCTTCCCCCCCACTCATCGTTGTGGTCTGATCTGACCCTGGTATCGGCCGCCTCACACGCTGGGCCCTGTAGAAGCAAGTGGTTAAGGTTAGAAGGCATCCAGGATAAAGGGCTTAGACTTTAAACTTCAGAGAATTAAGAGATAAGAAAAATCCTAATGACGATACCTAATATTTATTAAACACAATGTGCTAAGCACTCAGTATACTAAGTGTTTTGCACCAATCCCCTTACCTAATACAATGAATCCTATGACACAGGTAATTATATTACCTCTATTTTATGGCTGAGGAAACTGAGGCTTAGAGAGGTTAAGTAACTTGTTAGTGATCATAGGCTGTCACCTCTCAAAGTGCGGTAGCAGCATACACATCCCCTGTGAGCTTGTGAAATGCAGACTCTCGGGCCCAACTCTAGACCTACTGAATCACAGTTTGCATCTGAAGATCTACAGGTAATCTGGATACACATGAAAGACTGAGAGATGCTGGCCTAGGAGGTGATTTAACTTCCAGCAGTATGAATCCGGGGCTTATTCTCAAAATCGCTCTACTGTTCTAACTTCTAGAAAGTCATGGGGTAAACTACATTTTTCCTTTTTTTTTTTTTGTGACAGGGCCTTGTTCTGTCGCCCAGCAGGCTGGAGTGCAGTGTGCAGTGGTGTGATCATGGTTCACTGCAACATCCACTTTCTTCCCAGGCTCAAGTGATCCTATTACCTCAGCCTCCCAAGAAGGTAGGACTACAGGCATGTGCCACCATGCCCAGCTAAATGTTTAATTTGTTGTAGAGATGAGATTTCCCTATGTTATTCAAGGTGGTCTCAAACTCCTGGGCTCAAGTGATCCTCCCATCCTCACCTCCCAAAGTGCTGGGATTACAGATGTGAGTCACTGTGCCCAGCCCTATATTTTTCTTAAGAAGAGCAGGGCCAGTTGTTTACTAAGAAACTGCAATTTACACCCATGATTTCCAGCCCTAATGATCAGTCTGTGGTCAGCTCCTAGGATGCTGAGGCTTAGAAGCTAGCAGGCAACAAGGACTGACCCACGGACCCATCCCATCAGTTCTGCTTCTCTCCTGACCCTCACACCTGTGCATGGCCTGCATGCGTAGCCCCTCCTCAATGCTGGAGCTCAATGCCTGCTGGTTGTGCAGGCGGCTCAGGCGGATAAGCACTCGGTCTTGATGGGCCTCGTATTCCTCCCGGCTAGGATAGATCTTAGAGATCAGGGCATCAAAGTTGGGGTCTGGCCGTAGGGATCGCTTGGACACCAGCTTCTTTCGGCAGGTAGGACACTCCTTGTTCCTGGGGTAGGAGAAGGGAAGCCCTGAGTGGTCAGTCAAGGGAACTGAAGCCTAGGCTGAACCAAGACCAGTGAGAGGGCCCTAACTTTGTACCCCTTCATCTCATCTCAAACATGTCTCTCCTATTACCCGCTCCGTAGGGCTGTGACAATGCAGTCAGAGCAGAATCTGTGGAGGCACTCCTTGGTGGTCATCGTATTCTTCAGCATGTCCAGGCAGATAGGGCACATGAGTTCTGAATGCAGTGACCGAGGGGAAACAGCAATCTCTGTGCCATCCATTATGGCTTCCTGAAGGCATCAGTGAGTAGAAAGGTGGTGTGGGTTAGAGGGAAAGGGGTTTTAGAAACAGCAGCCCATAAAATAAGAATTTTGAGAAATACAGTGAGAAGACCCATGTTGGTCTCTATAGGAGACAAGAATTCTGAGAAAGAGAAGGACTGATGACTTGGAGCAAATGGAGAAAAGACAGACTTTAGTGTCCATTAACTAAGAGTAGGAGCTTTGGAATAGGAGGATCTGAGGTGGCTAAGTGGCCTAGGAGTGAAGATGGCACAAATCTGTGGTTGGGAAAAACTATTCAACAAAATTTTTTAAAGTCCTGGTGCTACCTGTATTAGAACCCCATAGGGTGCCTGTTAAAAATTCAGATTCTGAGAACCCAATTCACTACTGAATCAGAATGTTGGGGGGCATGAAGCTCTGCTTTTAATAAACTCCCAAAGTGAGTCTTATGTGCACTGACTTATGACACTGAATGAGGAACAGGGAAGGTAATTTTTGTGTTTGTGATCTTTCAAATGAAGATAATAATACTTGTTCCACCTCTCTGGCAGGGCTGTTTTGAGGATTAAATGAGCTAAATGCGAAAGTGCTTTGGAAAGATTAAGGTGATTCAAAGGTAGGGCCAGGCAAGGCAGAATAGAGCAAATTACGGAAAAGAAGCTGTGTGATGCGGTCTGTGGATATAAGGGTTTGGGGGAGGGGGTAAGCCTGAAAGGGAGAATGCCTGTCACCTGCGGGGTCCGGTGCAGCTCATACAGACTCAGTTCCCACGTTTTGCTGGCATTCTGGGCATTCGCCGGCGTCGTCATGGTGACCGGGCGCAGACCCCCCACCAGGGCTCCACAGCCGAGGAGAAGGCGAAGAAGGCTGGGGGTGGGGGGAAGGGGAGGAGGGCGTCAGGGGGGCCGCCCCTCGCGTAGACCCCGCCCCTCCAGAAGCGCCCCTCTCCGCCCCCGCTCCCGCCCCCGCGCCGGCACTGCCCCTCACCCAGCTCCAGCCGTTCGCGCTCCCGCCGCCGCCGCGCCTCTCCCTAGGCCCGGGCTCCTGGGCCAAGTTCGCTCGGTCCGCAACCGCTGCTCAGACAGCAGCTCCCGCCACCGCCGCCGCCATGGCCCGGGCGCTGGGGCCCTACGTCACTTCCGCCTGCTCCTCCGCTACACCCGCTCCCCCCGCCGGCGGAGACGTCACCCACCATTCGCGGCGCGGGTGGGACGGGACGTGGACGCCGCGGTTCTCCCGCCCACGGGACGGGCTCGTCCCGCGTGAGGATCCTGCGTCCCGGGAGTTCTGCGCCACTTAGGGAACCACGGTCTCCGCCCCCGGCCCAGCACCGTCGCGCGGCCAACAACCTTAGCCTCGGTTCCCTTCCAGAGGCCCCCACGCGGGGCCTCAGCTCCGGGGGGCCGGGGCCTGGAATATCTGGGACCCCAGGAGGGGACAGAGGGCTCGTGAAAAGGGCTACCTCCCCCACTCTGCGTACCCTGGCGACTCTGGGGATCAACCCCCCTCACTTCTCCGTAACCCCCATTCCAGGATCCCGGGGGAAAAGGCTGCAAAAGATCTGCCGCTTTAGCCTTCTAGTCCTGAGAACACACCTAGGTCCCGATGTGCCCGGGATTCCCCTTACCACCCTGGGGACTCCCTCCACCCTCTGCTTTGGCTCTCCCTAGACCCTCCGACCCGCTCTCCCGCTCGAGGTTTGGGGGCGGCGGCTCGGGACGTCCAGACTCAACTCTCGGCCGGAGCCATAGACTCGAGAATTGCGTTTGGACAATCAGGAGCCGCGGCCCGGGGCGGGGAAGGGAGGGAGGCGCACGGGAGGAAAGGGGGAATGGAGACACCACGCGGAAACAGGGACATACACAAGATGGAGCTCCCATTGGGAAGGGGGGGTGCGCGTGTGGGTGGGGTACACAGGGGCAGAATGTCTGGAGTGGGAAGTGGGCAGAAGCCTCTTCGAGGACTCTAGAGTAAACGAAGGGGATGGGGAGGAAAGAGAAGAGGAAGGGGCAGAGCGATCCCCATTGAGTGTAGGGAATGAGAGGGATACAGGGCGAGGGGGTGGGGGGCAGTTAGAGACCCTGATGGGCATCTTGTCCCCGCCCGAGCTGAGGCTCCCGGACTTGGGCTGCGGCTGCCAGGGGGTGGCCTGTCCCTGGGACAAGGCAGCAGTGGGTGCCCTCGCCCCCCACCCCAGTTCCCCCCTACTTCCCTGTCCTCTCCTTCAGTCCGTGGCCAGTCCTTATGTGGGCGCCAGAGTCGATTAGCGCAGACCCCCCTCCCCTTCCTCCTCCTCTTCCCAGCCCCCTCCCTCCTGCTCTCTCCAGCCCCTTTCATCGGCTGGTTCATTCCCCTAATCCTGGCCCCCTCCCCTAATCCCCCCCATCCGACCCCAGGCCGGCTGCAGCTATTGTAAGGTGGAGAGAAAGGGGAGGGGGGGACTCAGAGAAAGGAGAGGGGTGGGGGAGGGCCACCTGTTCCAAGACCCCCTTTCAAGGCCAGACTGGACACCAAGATGGGGCCATGAACAAATCACCCTTGGGGACCATAAGAACCCAGGGAGTTGGGGGGAGGGGACTGGTGCTGCAGAACCAGTGGAAAGGGGTGACGCACGAACCCCTCCCTTCAAAAAGACCCGGAGTGTCACGCATACACAGTGACACATACTCTTTCCTCTCACACCCGGCGGCGGGGGTTGCCCTGGGAGACCAGGCAGAGAAAGGGAACAATCCTTCGGGAAAGGGAAAGGAGGGGGAGGTGGGGAAGGGTCTGAGGGCTTGGACACAAGAAGAGCCGGAGGTGGCAGGGAAGAGGACTTGGAATTTATTAGGGTCACAAGCACCCCTGCTTCCCATATTCAGCATTCCTGAACCATACACTGCCACCCCTTTTGTATCCTGGGAACTTAGAGTCCTCATCAGCAGGAGGCCAGGCAGAGTGGTGGGGGGGTGAGCAGAGTCCAGGGTCCTTGAGGCAGTTACATGAAAAGACCTCCTGGGAGGGGCAGAAACATTTGGACAGATGCATGGGTGGAGACACAAATGGGCTAGGGGGTACCCACTTCTGTCCCTGGCCTTGGGAACCTCTGCCCTTCCCAGTGGCTCCAGACTCCCCTTACTTGCTTTCTCATATAGTCTGGGTTCTACTTCTCTGCCCTCTCCCTCCCCATGCTGGCCTCATACCAGTGACTTCCACTGAGGTCCCTGTGATGTATCCACTATCTTCAGATGCCAAGAATGCGACCACATCTGCCACATCTATGAGAATGGTGGGGAGAGGGCAGAATTCTGCTCACTCCCATAGACCCAAAACAGCCATAATCTCCCACCAAAGACATCCCTCCCCACAAACCTCTCCACAGACACCAACCACCAGTCCCCTAGAAAATCCCCAAACTTTGGGGATCTCTTCATTCAGGCCCCCTTCCCAGGGACCCCACTACATTCAGTGCTCACCCTCAGGGTCCCCCAAGTGTCCCATCGGGATCATTTCAGTAATCTGTAAGGAAATACTCATGTGGGTGAAAGCTTCTTTTATGGATTTTTTTGAAGACTGAGTCTGTGACCCTTTTTTGTCTTCATTTCTCATACATTCATTGAATATTTAATGTTTGCCAGGAACTGTGCCCAGTATTCTCTCTCTCTCTCTCTCTCTCTCTCTGTGAAGCCCAGAGAGATTGAGTCTCTGAATGATTCTGCCCTCCACCCACAGCCTCCTACCTTGTCCACCACTTTCTGTGGCACTTTCTGTGTCATGGGTGTTGCAATGAACCCTGGGAGGACAGAGTTACAGCGGATCCCATGTCTGTGGGAAGGAGAGTGGCTGCCGATTCTGGAGAGGGCTGAATGCTGGTACCTCCCTCAGACCCCCCAGGTGCTCCCCAGCACCCTCAAGCATCTGACCAACCGTCCAAGCTCCCGGGCTGCGGTCTGGGTCAGCCCAATCACTCCAGCCTTGGATGCTGCATAGTTTGTCTGCCCCACGTTCCCCACCTATAGGTGAGTCAGAGATGTGGAATGAGTCAGGAGTCTCAAGGAGGGGTTCTCCTCTCTATACCACTTGGCTGGCTGACCTCGTCCAACTCAACCTGACCTTTCCTACGATGCTACTGATGTTGATGATGGAACCACGACAACCATTGGACACCAGGGCTTGTGCTGCAGCCTGAGTGACTAGGAAGGTGCCCTGGCGGGAAAGGGTAACAAGGGAGAAAAGATCAGCTGGGGTGACAGCCCTCCTCCAACTCCCTCCCCAGGCTAAGGGGGCCAAACGTCGCAGGTTCAGAGATCGCCACCTTGAGGTTGACAGCTATGACTTTGTCCCAGTCATCCTCAGACATGTGCAGCAGAAACTCATCCTGGGTGATGCCCGCACAGGACACAACGACAGATGGTGGGCGAGAAAAGCAGGCCTATGGGAGGGGGAGGTTACGCATCAAAAACCCCCCACAAAAAGCCGGGGCAGTGGAGGCAATATTAGAGCTTTAGAGGGGGAAAGTGGCCTGGCGTTCACCTGCACTTGTTCCAGCAGGCACCTGGCGGCCCTGGCCTCAGACACGTCAGCCTGGAAGGCAGCATGGTTCCCTCGGGGCGGCCCCTCCTTGCTCCCTGGCCCGCCCAGCAGCCGCACCGTCTCCTGTGCCGCTGCCCGGTCCAGGTCGCAGGCAGCTACGGTGGCCCCCTCTCCGGCCAGGCGTACACTGACCGCTCGGCCGATGCCGCTCCCCGCACCTGAGGTAGGACAGAACACGCCGGACCGGGCACGGGGAGGAGAGGGCAGGGATCAGAGGTCACAGGGCAGAAAGTAAAATGTGGGTAAGGGGCCAGAGGTCACAGCGGCCGCGCACTCCAAGGGCACGCCCCTGACCTCACTCCAATACCCCAAACCGCCCGGGGAAAGAACCCCCTCAACCTGTGACCAAGGCCAGTGCGGAGCGGAGTCGGTTCTGGAGCTGAGACGCCATGGCGGGCTGTGGGTGGGTGGGAATCCCAGCACTAAGCCAATCCCAGCGCAGAGGGGCGTGGCAAGGGCAAAGCCGGGGCCAATCAAAGGCCCGCCAGCCTTAGGCCATCTGCGGCCACCAGCGCAGGCCGACCTCCCACCGAGGGGGCGTGGCCCGACACTGCTGCTTAGGGGCCCCGGGTGTGGAGAAGACAAGGGGCCCCATTCCCCCCAAAAAGACAAAGACTGCATGTGGGGCGGAAGATCGGAGGTCTTTATTTCCGGTTACCACCCCTCCCCCTCGATTCAAACACAGTGATATAAAAGGAATAGAAACAAAAAAAATCAGGCCATGAGAATACCAACTAACCCTCTCCCACCCCATCCCCCCAATCACTCCCAAATCAGGACACACGATTGATGTTTGATGTTTATCCCCGACTCCTCCTGTTACCCTCTCTGTCCAGGACTCTGGTCTTCCCTGAAGCCTCCACCAACTGGTGGGAGAAAGGAAACTGGACCTTGGAGAACTTCCTGTGTAGCAACTTGGTTCTCCGAGAACAGGTGGGGTAGGGGACACCAGGTAGGCTGCCATCACCCCCTGTCCCTTCCAGCCTTCTTCATGGCCCCATTTAGCCTTCCAAATGCAACATGGTCAGACAGTGCCCAACACTATGGTCCCTCTGGCCTCTCATTCTCACCGCTCCAGCCTCTGTAAGACTGCCAGCCCTTGAAGGCCCTAATGCCAAAGTAACCATTCTCCCAGGCTACAGTTCCTTCCTTTGGCAGATGTCCCTGGCCAGGGCCCCCAACCTCTACGCACCCCTGACCTGGAGTTAGGGGTAGAGGTTTGGGGCAGGGGTAGTTTATCCACCCCTCACTCAAGGTGGGCAATCAGCACCATCATGATAACTCCCCCCAGCAGCCCCAGCACCTCCAGAAGTGATTGCAATGGTGATGCCTCCCTCAGCAGCTCGGGCAACACAGACACTGTTGCTACGTAGATAAAGCCACCTGCAGTAAATGGCAGGACCCAGCCAGGACCTGCACCACCTGCAATTTCACTGCCCACTGCTCCTCCTTCAGTGAGAAGGGCACAGGCTGTGCCTGCCAGTGCCCCTACTGCTGTCAGTAGTTGCAGACGCATCGCCTGATGGGCAGAAAAGAGAAAAAGGCACTCACCAATAGCTAAAGATTATCAGTGGTTTAGAAGTGGCTGGTGGGGTATAGGTATAGGGGACATGGATTTGGAAACTAAACATCAAAATAAAAAGAGAAGAGGGAGCAGTCTAGAATAGACAATTTCTGAAAAATCTTAAGAGATCAGAGGTCCTTTCCACAGACTTTCTGATTGAGTAGGCGTGTGTGTGTAAGACTCCACTAAACCATTCAGATGGTTTATAGACCAGTTTAAGAAATACTGAGCTAAAGGACAAAGTAACCAGAACTTCTTCCCCCTCATTTCTAGAGGACTTGTCAATGACAGTATGAATTGTTTGGAACTAATAAGAGGCTGTTTGGGTTTAGGGTGAGTGAGGAGAGATAAAGGGTTTGAGGCAGCTGTGTTTGGCAGACATCACCAACCTGCTTTTTGCTGCAGCCAGACTGGACCAAGATGGCAAAGTCTCCGACCTCGTGGGGCACTTCATGTAGCAGGACAGTCATTGTGGTCAGGATCCCTAGTCCCCGGCCCCCTCGAAAGGAAGCCCCAATGGCCAGACCATCAGTGAAGTTGTGTGCCAAGTCAGCAGCCAGATTCAGGTACCCCGACACACGCAGGTCTTGTACAGGACAAGAAGAGAAAATGATCAGAGGCTTCCATCACCACTTGTTCCAGTCTTGGTCAGCTATTCTCACACCTCCCCTCAGAGACCACTTTACACCCAGTCCTTTAGTGTTTCTCAGATACCTGCCATTACCCACAGCACATATTCCATGTGATTTGTGATGATGTCCCTTGCCCAAATTTATCACCAACTCTGGCCCTTACCTAAGCCTCTTTTTTCTTCTTCAGCGTTCTGAGGTCTCACTGGCCCATCTTTGGGTACTGTGCTCCCTCCTCGCCTCTTCTGAACCCCTCTTGTTTCCTTTTCTTCTTCCTCTGAGCTCTGCTTCTCCTTGGTAGAACGCTCTGAGGGAAGAAAAGAGTTGGTCAGAGTGGAGAACAGATCTTCCAACATGTCCTCTCCCTCCTGAGGGCCATAAGATGAGGAGATTCTGAGGCAGGCAAGTCAGCTTTCAGGAAAGTTGTTCCTGGGCTCACCTTGTCTTCCATGTCCATGACTTCCACGTGTATGACTGTGAGCGTGTCCATGTCCATGACTGTGACCATGTCCTCCTTTCACATGTCTCACAAATTTCTCCACGACAAGAAAGGCAACAATTCCACTGAGAACCCACAGTCCCACAGACAGAATGGGGCCCTGGCCTGGGAATGGAGGCATTGAGACATTAAGGGAGATGTGCATTCCAGACTCCTCCTCCTCAAGTGCGGGAGGTGAGGAATAGGGAGAGACGGACCTTCCCCAGCACCCCAACTCCCATCCCCATCTGTCTCTTCCTCACCACTGTGGGAGTGTCCATGTCCGGGTTGCTCCAGAGTGTGGTGAGAATGAGGTTCTGGAAGAAGGGGGGAAAACCAGATGAGGGAATATCTGACACAATGAGTGTGTATTTGGGGGAATATCGAAAGGTCAGGGATCATAAAGGAGAAAGAACCCTTTTCCTCCAAAGAACGAAATAGGTTAGATTTGAGGTAGAAGTCAGAGGTTACTTACCAAGAGCATGAGGAATGAGGTGCAGGAAAGCATCTCCCAGGAGCCCACCGGAAGCAAAACTGAGCAAGATCTGAAGTAGAGAGCGATGCCGGGGAGAGTTCGACTCCACGGGGATAAGGAAGAGGACAAAAAATGGAGCTGCTGAGATCAGCACTGTGGCCCCCAGTGCCTGGTGAGGGAGAGTCAAGGTCAAGTACTGTGGAGTTTCCCAACAATCCAGAACCAGCCCTTCTCTCTCCCATCCCCTGGAGACTCACATAAGCCCAGAGAGTGACAGCATCCAGGTCCTGCTTGATGCCTGGAGCCCCAGACTCCCCATAGCCTCCATGGCTATGCTCATGGTCATGTCCATGTCCTCTGTGGTAGAGGCTCTCATGGGAGTAGCCATGGCTATGGCCATGGTGTAAATCCTCATGTGAATGTCCATGGTCGTGATCGTGGGTATGTCCATGCCAGATGCTCTCGTGAGTGTGGCCATGGCCATGGGCATGGCTGTGGCCATGGTGGAAATCTTCATGTGAGTGCCTGTGGCTGTGGCCATGGAAGTCCTCTTGCAGATCGTCGTGCAGGTCGTCATGACCCCCGAGTCCAGCCACCAGAAGCCCCAAGGTCGCCCAGGTCAGCAGTCCCACGGCCACCCAGTGGGGGGCCCCCAGGCCTCTGGCCATCACGCTGACCAGAGGGACAGAGGCAGTGACTCCACTTGACTCAACTCTATACCTACACAGGGTCCGCTTTACTCCAATCGCGCCCTCCGTCCACCTCTATGGGCCGCTCTCCCATTCCCTTAAGTTCCCACCTACATTGTTCCCAAGACTAGTTCTCTTTATCCCGAACCACCTCCCGGATGTAGGGCCCTGGGACACTAATCTTTCACCAGCCACTTTACAGACTCTCTGGGCCCTCGTCTCTACGACTCATTAGGTGAGGAAAAGGCCTGGAAAGGATGGTAGAGAAAAAACAGAGAATTCTCACCGGCTCCGGGATCCTCTCCTTTCCCGGTTTGCTTGGACGTGGCAGTCCCGCCTTTAGATCCCGCGAGAACAGGAAGTTCCGTTCCACCTTCGCCCTAATGCCTTTACCAATATGGCGGCACTCCGGTAGCGACGAATCCATCCTGCACTGACACGCATGCGCGAGTGTGGAGGTGATTTGAGGGGAGGGTGGGCGAGGCGGGCTAACAGGCCGGAGGAGACCGCCTCCTCGGTTTCCAACTAGACGAGGGGGCGGGAACTCGCGCCGAGACTTCCCGTCTGTACAAAGATGGCTGCCACATTGGCGCTGTCATTTTGGTACTGAGCAGAGCGACGGGCTTAATTCGACCCAATCCAGGCCAGAGTCTTTCTCTCAGGGGCTTCCTCGTGCTCAGCTAATCCTCCGATCAATCCTTGGGAATCCCTGGGACCTCTTCGGTATCCCTACTCTCAGCCAGGGATCATGTCTTGGGCCGCTCGCCCGCCCTTCCTCCCTCAGCGGCATGCCGCAGGGCAGTGTGGGCCGGTGGGGGTGCGAAAAGAAATGCATTGTGGGGTCGCGTCCCGGTGGCGGCGGCGACGGCCCTGGCTGGATCCCGCAGCGGCGGCGGCGGCGGCGGTGGCAGGCGGAGAACAACAAACCCCGGAGCCGGAGCCAGGGGAGGCTGGACGGGACGGGATGGGCGACAGCGGGCGGGGTGAGTGCCCCAGCAGAAGGGCAGGCGAGCCAGTGACCGCTTTATCTGCGACCCCTCCCCCACACCCTCCCCCGGTGCTCTTTTCCTTGCGCTCCCGCCCCCTTGTTTGTAAACACGCGTCCCCTCCCTCCCGAGGGCCTTAGCACCCTCCCCCCCGGGGCGGGGCGGGGAAGGGGAGCTTCCGCCCTCCTAGCTGTGACCGCTTGAGGCCTTGGGCACCGGAGGTCGCGGGCCTGGGAAGGGCACGATTCCTCTTAAACCTCAGGACTTTGGGCGTTTACAGGCAGATCCTGCGTCTTAGGAGGGGTCTCTCCTGCCTGTCTCTTTCCCTTGCACGCTCTGGCTACCTGGCTTTACGCTGGGAATAGAGGGGCTCGATGGTCTACCCCACGTGCTGCCCCACCCACGAGACAGGTGTGGCTTTGGGATGACCTGGTATTCATTCAAATGGATTGGTTGGAAAATTTTCCTCACCTGAACTATCCTCCTCTCCTTGTCAACTCCCTCCTCTCACCACAATGAGGAGTTACGCTGTTTTTGGGTTTTTTTAGCCAGTCAAATATAGCAGTGGGAGGTTGTATACCAATTTTAGTGACACAAATGTTAATAAGTTCTGATAACCCACTACCATCGGACCAGCCGGAGTTACACTGTTGTTTGACAGCAGGGTGTCTCTGAACTTGGGGATGGGTGGAGTGGGCTGGGTCCGGCACGGTGGGGTATTAGAGAATTAAAGTCTCTAGTTGGATGTTTGAAGACTCATTTTCTTTTTTTGTCTCTTCTGTCTCTTGTGTGTCTGTGTGCCTGTACATACCCCTCCCTCAGACTCCCGAAGCCCAGACAGCTCCTCCCCAAATCCCCTTCCCCAGGGAGTCCCTCCCCCTTCTCCTCCTGGGCCACCCCTACCCCCTTCAACAGCTCCATCCCTTGGAGGCTCTGGGGCCCCACCCCCACCCCCGATGCCACCACCCCCACTGGGCTCTCCCTTTCCAGTCATCAGTTCTTCCATGGGGTCCCCTGGTCTGCCCCCTCCAGCTCCCCCAGGATTCTCCGGGCCTGTCAGCAGCCCCCAGGTGAGAGGTTGTGACCAACTTACTGCCTGGCCACTTTCATTTTCTTGTTTTCCTTGTAACCCCAGATCCTTGTGTGAACTTCCCCATGGCCCATTGACCTTCCAATCCTCTAACCTTGTCAGGCCTGTGGTCTTTATGAGACCCCTTGCCTTTCCTGAGGTGACTGATCTTTCAGTGCATGCTTCCTCCCCTAAAAGAACTCTAATATTCTTTGTTTTTGTGTGTGTGTGTGTGTTTTTTTTTTTTTTTTTTTTGAGATGGAGTCTTGCTCTGTTGCCCAGGCTGGAGTGCAGTGGCACAATCTCAGCTCACTGCAACCTCTGCCTCCTGGGTTCAAGCAATTCTCCTGCCTCAGCCTCCTGAGTAGCTGGGATTACAGGTGCCTACCACCACGCCCGGCTAATTCTGATATTCTTGATGTCCTTTTCATCTATCTGATTTTCTGCCCTTTTGATCCCATCTGCTTTCCCAAGACACCTGCCCTTCAGGGTCACTGTGTTGCACAATTTCAGGGGGGGCCTGTTTATTCACTTTGGGGTTGTGCTCCAGGGATGGCCTTTCACATAGACTGCAGTGTAAATGACAGCCTCTGGAATGTGCATTGCAGGGCCTTGCTTAGTGGTAGGGAATGATTTCCATCACTTCTGTGACATTCTGCTTCCCAATAAGTCTTCCTGTGACTTCCCTATTTCCCCCATCCCAGATTAACTCAACAGTGTCACTCCCTGGGGGTGGGTCTGGCCCCCCTGAAGATGTGAAGCCACCAGTCTTAGGGGTCCGGGGCCTGCACTGTCCACCCCCTCCAGGTGGCCCTGGGGCTGGCAAACGGCTATGTGCAATCTGCGGGGACAGAAGCTCAGGTATGTGGCTCAGAGGATGAACAGAGAGGGAGAGTCTGGGCCATGTATCATCACCTGTGGGATTCCCAGGGCTTATGGAGTTTGGTCAGAGCAAGTGACCTGGGGGAGGCCTGATGGGAGTAAAGAAGCTGAAGCTGAGATGTAGGACGCGATTGGGGGGAAGGTCAGAGGGAAAAGGAAGCAGCGTGTAGGGTTTCTGAACAGTGAGGAGACTGGGACTGGATCATCACTCAGCTCCTGGTTCCCTATCTCTGTATTTGGCAAACAGGGAGGACTTTAAGTTTTGCTAGGGGGAGATTGGAAACAGACTAAATGGTGAAGGTGTCTCCATGCAACCTTCTTATTGCTCCTCCCCTTTCCCTGTAGGCAAACACTACGGGGTTTACAGCTGTGAGGGTTGCAAGGGCTTCTTCAAACGCACCATCCGCAAAGACCTTACATACTCTTGCCGGGACAACAAAGACTGCACAGTGGACAAGCGCCAGCGGAACCGCTGTCAGTACTGCCGCTATCAGAAGTGCCTGGCCACTGGCATGAAGAGGGAGGGTAAGGACCCGCCCTGCCCAGGCGTCTTAGACCACATGCCCTTCTCCCTTATCCCACTCAGACTGTGTACCTCTCTGGAAGGGTGGACTGCTCTCTCTCCTCTAGAGGGCGATATTTGATTTCTCTCTCCCTTCGCAGCTCTCCTCCCTGTTACCCTGTTCTGGCCCTTGAGTTTCCTTCTTAATGGTTAGGCCTCTGTGGCCTGCACATATGACCCCTCCCTAGACTGATCCTAGGATAGGATAACTTTTCCTTAGCCATGATGGGCTGTCTCCCCATTTCTAACCTGAGTGGTTCCTCCTCTGATTCCATGGACCTTCTCTGGTCTCTGTCTCCTGTTATCTGTGATCTTTCCTCTAACTCCTGGGACTGGGCACTCTTAAGCTTACAGACTTTACTGAAGACCTCAGGGCTTCCCTTCCTTCTTCTGTGTCTCCATCTTATCTTCTTAAGTCAGATTCCTAGGATTCTGAGAGACACTTTAGAGCATATCTTGGTCAAAACACCCACTTTAGAGAAGATGAGCCTGAGGCTTGGCTTTCCCAAGGTCATGCAACAAAGGAGTGGCAGGCAGGTTTGGGATCAGAACCCACATCTTCAAAGACCTAGGCCAGTGCTCCTTTCACTGCCTATTTGTTGAGTCAGAAGAGCACAAGATTTGCACTCAGACACACTTAGAGTCAGTTGTATGACCTGCCATGTATTATATGAATTTAAGCAAACTAATCTCTTTGAACCCCGAGTTCTTCATCTTAAAAATGAGAATAAATGCTTCCAGCATCATTATGATAATTGAGTGAATGTTAAAATGTGCTTAGCATGTTTCTTGGCATATTTTATTTAAAAAAATTTTTTTTTTCAATCAGCTTTCTCAGGTTGAATCTTGGCATGTTTTTTTTAACCATGTAGTAGGCTCTCCATTTAAATTCCTCCCTAATTCTTTTACCTACCTCACCCTTCCCGACTGACTTACCTGCCCTTTTATAACCCTTCCTTCAGGGCTGCCCCCAGTCCACCCTTTCTAGTGACTTCCCCAATTCCTATAAATATCTCCCAAGGGCCATGAGATCCTGATGAGGCCGTAAGGATATTTGTGGAACCCCTTCATGGCTGGCTGCTGACTTTCCATTTTTTCTCTCCCCCTTCCCCCTGCAGCGGTACAGGAGGAGCGTCAGCGGGGAAAGGACAAGGATGGGGATGGGGAGGGGGCTGGGGGAGCCCCCGAGGAGATGCCTGTGGACAGGATCCTGGAGGCAGAGCTTGCTGTGGAACAGAAGAGTGACCAGGGCGTTGAGGGTCCTGGGGGAACCGGGGGTAGCGGCAGCAGCGTGAGTGTTGGGGTCAATCCACTCTCCTTCGTGATGGGGGTTGGGGGAGGCAGTCTAGGTCTGTTCTACATCCCCTCCCCCTCCTTTCCCCTCATAACCTTCCTAACACTACTTGGGACTGGAGGTGCTGCCAAACAAGGTCTTTCAAACATCTGAGGTGGATGTGATAGCTCCTTCTGTCTCCACTCCCCAAACAACCCACTGGCAGAACCATAGGCATGTCCCAAATAAATAATTGTTTGCACTAATGCCAGAAGAGAAGACTCACTTACAGGGATTGGTTTGGATGGGGCTCACAGGAAGACTATATGTAAGGAGGGGGTGTCAAAAGCCTCTTACAAGGGGGCTCCCAGCATATCTCAAAATCTTCCATAACTCTTACCCCCGTCCCCTGCAGCCAAATGACCCTGTGACTAACATCTGTCAGGCAGCTGACAAACAGCTATTCACGCTTGTTGAGTGGGCGAAGAGGATCCCACACTTTTCCTCCTTGCCTCTGGATGATCAGGTCATATTGCTGCGGGCAGGTCAGTGACCTTGGATCCCTTTGACTTCTTGACATTTGACCCCTTTGACTTCCCGATCTTTAGTGACCCCAGTGGCCTTACCTTGCGTACCCAGGGAGCCAAACTTGCTGACCTCGCCACCTCTTTTCTCCTTCTCTTCCACTGATGTGCTTTGAATCCCTTGGCCTGATTTCTGGCTCCTGACCCTTGCTGCCCCACCCAGGCTGGAATGAACTCCTCATTGCCTCCTTTTCACACCGATCCATTGATGTTCGAGATGGCATCCTCCTTGCCACAGGTCTTCACGTGCACCGCAACTCAGCCCATTCAGCAGGAGTAGGAGCCATCTTTGATCGGTCAGTGGCCCTCGGCTAGGCTGGCATGTAGATAGAGGGGGTGGGGCTATAGGCTGGTCCGTGTCCAAGGCTGGCTGAGCTGTGACCTTTGAGTGACCTGCAGGTCCCTCTCCAGGGTGCTGACAGAGCTAGTGTCCAAAATGCGTGACATGAGGATGGACAAGACAGAGCTTGGCTGCCTGAGGGCAATCATTCTGTTTAATCCAGGTAAGAGGAGGATTACCTTTGTCTCTCAAGGCCAAGGCAACCTTGGAGCCTCCTCTTCTCCGAGACTCCTAAGTTACCCAGCTATCCCCCTCAGTAAGACCCTCAACCTGGAAATCTCCCAACTGGCCGAGGAAAAACCCACATCCACGGATCCATCCCACAAACCCAGTGGGCCCTGCTTCCCTTGCCAGGCCTCTGGTAAAGGGCAAGCAAGTGCAGCCCAAAAGGGGCATCCTGTGGCTCACATCTGCATGGCCATCCTGATTTGGTTTGTCTTCATTTCTCTTCCTCCTCTCTTCCCTGCCATCCCAGATGCCAAGGGCCTCTCCAACCCTAGTGAGGTGGAGGTCCTGCGGGAGAAAGTGTATGCATCACTGGAGACCTACTGCAAACAGAAGTACCCTGAGCAGCAGGGACGGTGAGATGGGGCTGGGGGGCACTGAGGCTCCCTTGGGGGTGGGGAGTGCTATGAGGATGTGTTCAGGGCCCGTGTGCTTCCAGCTCTCAATCCCCTTCTCCCACCTCCACCCCAGGTTTGCCAAGCTGCTGCTACGTCTTCCTGCCCTCCGGTCCATTGGCCTTAAGTGTCTAGAGCATCTGTTTTTCTTCAAGCTCATTGGTGACACCCCCATCGACACCTTCCTCATGGAGATGCTTGAGGCTCCCCATCAACTGGCCTGAGCTCAGACCCAGACGTGGTGCTTCTCACACTGGAGGAGCACACATCCAAGAGGGACTCCAAGCCCTGGGGCAGGGTGGGGGGCCATGTTCCCAGAACCTTGATGGGGTGAGAAGTACAGGGCAGAACCAAGAACATAAACCCTCCAAGGGATCTGCTTGATATCCCAAGTTGGAAGGGACCCCAGATACCTGTGAGGACTGGTTGTCTCTCTTCGGTGGCCTTGAGTCTCTGAATTTGTCGGGGTCTCCCATGATTTGGGGTGATTTCTCACCCTCTGTCCTTCCCCCAGCACAAAGCACTGGCCTTGCCTCCAGGACCTTGCTTCCTTCTCATCTTGCCTCATTTTGCTTCCCATCTGAAGAGTGGAAATGGGGATCTCCCCCAGAGGTGGATACTGGGGGGCAGGCCTCCCAAGCTGATGGACATGAGAGTAGGGCCCTGACAGGCCTTCCTCCTCTCAAACCTGGCAGATGGGGGCCTCTCTGGAAGAGGGAGGGGCCCTGTCACTGTCCAGAGTCTCTTTTTACACTTCACCTCCTTCTGCAGTCAGACTGAAATATAAAAAAGGTGGTGGTGGTGGTGAAGGGGCTGGTGGAGATGTAGGAACCGATCTGCTATTTTTAATTTCCTGTGAGGATAGAGACTTGCAGTTAGACTCAAAGAAGTACTGTACTTTCCCAGGTTGACTAAGAAATGCCAGTGGTGGAGGTGGGTGTTTGGGAAAGGCAGGGCCCTGAAATGGCCTGTCCCTAGGGCTCTCCAAGCACTAGCCTTCCCAGCTTCCCGCCGCCCCCCCCATCTCTTCCTGTCTAACTTGGGGAAGGGGCCTGGGCTGTGAGGACAGGGCCCCCACAGGGGATGGTTTCACGAGTGTAGTCCCGGAGGCCTTCCCTTTACAGCTCTCCTCCAGCCCTGGGCACATAGCATAGGCTGGGGACACAGGATCCTGGCCTGAGAATTGAGGGGAGGTGGCCAGCCCGCAGAGGTGGGGTGCTGGGGCTGCATGATTTTTGCCCTGCGTCCCTTCTCTTTGGGGCTCCTTTCCCCTCTCATACATAAAATCGCTTTCAAATTAAAATCGCTGTTTTCTGGACTGAGGTGACTGTATGAGGATGGGCAGCGCCGTTTCGGGCTTGGGGGGGGTATCCGGTTGGGAGCTCCGGACGCGATCCCTGGACGCCGCCGCCGAGGTTCCATGGGGCCCAAGAGGTGCACGCAGGGTGGGGGACACAAGGCAAGCTTTGTCGGGGAGGGGGGGAGAGGGTGTGCCAGGCTGGGGGCGGGGCCGGCCGGAGGAGGAAGGGGGGGCGGTGGATTCTCAAAGGCGCCTTGTTCGCTCGTGCCCTCTCCGCGCCAGCGGGCGGCGGCGCCTCGGCTCGCTGCGGCCTTCCCTCCGGGCGCGCTGCGGGCTCCGGGCAGACCCGGCGCCGTGCCCGCTCGTGGGGGCGCACTGGGCGCCGAGCGCTGCGTGCTTCTCAGGCGTTGCCCGCCCGGAGGCGGCCCACGTCCCCGAGTGACCCCATTTCCCTGGACCCTTCCAACCAGAGTCGAATGCTCGCTCATCTTACCACTGCTCCCCCTCTACCTCGGCTCTGGGACTCCCTAACCGCGTCCCCCATTTGCATCTCCTTGGACCTGACTATCCTGTGTTTGTCGGTGGGTCCCAGTCTCTGGCCTCTTGCTCTCCGTAGAACACCTTCCCCCACATCCCCCGCCCCAGTTCGTCGCTATCTATAGCCTTGTCTATAAATACCCCCGCCCCGGCCCGGCTCTGTAATTACACGGGGCGGGGTGAGGGAAGTAATTATGGAGACCTGATTATGGGTGGGGTGGGGACTGCGACCCCCAGGCCCGCCTCTCCCCCTCCCACTGTGCCCTAAATCCCGCCCAGGCCTCTGCTGAAAGGGGGCTCTGGGCCCCCAAGAGGGAGGGAATGGGAGGGAGTGTGTGTGACTGGACGTTTGGGTCCTAGAAAAGGAAGGGGCTAGGGAAGATATTGGGGTTCCCGAAAAGAGAATCTTAGGGTACAGGCCGTTGAGACCTACAAGGGGCAGGAGAGAGCGAGCGATAGAGGGAGGGTTCCCGCCTCCCTCCCCAGGTGGAGACTGAGGGTGGGGTTTCCCTTCGGTGGCTGTGGGCGGGCGGCTGGAGGCGGGGGCCGGGCCGGGGGCGGGGGCGAGGTGGGGGCTCTGGGCGCCAGGGTGGCCGGGGACACACAGAAGCGGCAGCCACCGAGGAGGGAGCAGTGCCGGGAGCCCCGACGGCGCCTTGCTGCATGGAGCTGGGCCGCTGACAGCTGTCGCTGCCCGCAGCCTCTGACCTCCCTGGGACCCCGGCGTCTGAGGCTCATAGTCTGCTCCCTGTCTTCTGTCAGCCTCAGGGCATCCAGCGTCTCAGGCCGACCTGGGTCCCTGGGACCCGGCGTTTCGGCTTCTCAGCCATGGAGCGGTGCAGCCGCTGCCATCGCCTCCTCCTCCTCCTACCTCTGGTGCTGGGGCTGAGCGCGGCCCCAGGCTGGGCAGGTAAGAGGAGTCCTGATGCCTGGGTCCTCGGAGTCAGGCTGGAGCTCTGAGTGTCTCTGGGAAGGGGCCAGCTGATGCCTGGGGCAGCAGCTTCTGAGTCTAACAAGGAGATTTGGGGCTTCAAGGCTACAGGCTGGAGGGCAGGACACCTGTGTTCCTTGGCATCAGGGTAGGAATCTCTTTGTCCTTGAAGTGACTGGGGGAGGGCAGATAGGGCTGAAAGGTGGAGGACCACTTTAGAGACCCTGAATGGGGATGGATGCTTGTCTTGAGTCCTTGGGAAGAGCTGAAGATGGCCAGGGCCAGCCCGGTCCAGTCATTGCTGGTGTGGGGATGGTAGACGCCAATGTTGATGGGTGAGGCGTGTGTGTCTTATGGCCTTTCTGTCGATATCTCTGGGATAAGGGGTGAGCACCTGTGATTCAGAGCAGAGCCCAGTAAGCCCAGAAAGAAAGGAAGCCTTGACTACCTGTCTCATTGGCCTCCTGGACAGGGTCCCCCTCCCCCTCCCTGTGCCCTCGATGCTGCCACGCAGCTGGCTCTGGGGAGCACTGGGGCTGGCTGCCAACAGGACGGCCCTCCGGACAGGCCAGGATCAGGTGTCTGAGGCCAGAGCCAACTCTTTGCATTCCTGCCTAGCCCCTCCTCCCTCTGGCCAGCCAGGCTCCCCTGGGACCCTGGTGCCCACAACCCTGATCTTTTCCTTCTTTTTCCCAGGACCCAGAATTCCTGGCTTCTAGGAAAGGGGATTTGATGTCAAGGAGGGGGCTGTGAGCACCAGGTCCTCAGCAGGCTGGAAAAAGCCCATTTCTGGAGACACTGAGGGCTGATTTATATTTAACTTGACTATTCAATTCTTCTCTGCTTTAGAGAGAAAATGGTCAGAATGGCAGCACAAAAGATTTAGATTAGATTACAGAAGGAAGAACTTCCAAGATGTGAGGACAGTGAAGCCCAGGGCCAGGAAATTGAGGCGTATGGTGCCTGTAGACTCTAGGAGTCTTTCTTAGGGGGAAGAGGGATTCTCTGGCATGGAGGCAGGGGGATGGCTAAGATGACTGTTTCTTATTTCAGGGGCTGAGTGGGTAGAGATGGGACTTTAGGGAAATGAGTTACTGTAGAATTCCTAAGGTTAGAGAATAAGGCATTTGGGGGGCCAGAGGTAGAGTGGTGGAGGGTAATGGGGCTACCAGTGGAGAGCCTGTGGGGCAGATGAGGCTGGATACAGGGGGGCAAGTATGTGGCCTGGTGTGGGAAGATGGTGGGCGGACCTGTGGGTAGGTTGTCCATATGATCGAATTGTACTCCCTTGGGATTTGGTGGAGGGTGGGGACCTCCGAGGTCTCCTTGGCCTGGGGTCTCTGTGAGTCTCTGTGTCTCTGTCTCACTCACCCTTCGTCTCTCAAAGCGGCCCTTGTGTGTTGGTGTTTGCGGAGCTGCCACACGCGCAGGGGCCAGGCTTAGGTGGGGGTTGGGGGGGAAGGCCGTGGTTTCCCGGCTCCTGGACTCAAAGGGCCTTTTCTCTGCCTGCCCGCCCCACCTCACCCACCCCACCCAGCTCCACTCTCCTGATTGCTCTGGCCTCTGCCCTGCCCCACACTTCTATGAAAGTTTTGCTGGAACTCTCTTTGGGATTTTTCCAATCTGGAGCTGATGGTGTGAAGAGTATGTGTATAGGGGAGCAAGTGAGGGCAAGGTGATCTTTTGTTTTCCAGGGAGTTTGAGCCCTAGGAAGCTGAGTTCTAGGTAGACAGGGCTGGTGGGCTGGATCTTGAATCTTTGGGTCCCAGGTGGTGGGGTTGGTGGGGGTGGTGAGACAGGATTGAGGTTCCAGGTGTGGGGAGCTTGCCTGGGTTCTGGGCAAGCACTCTGATGGGATCCACAGATGTGTGGCTCAGGGCCCTGGACCTGTTCCGGATCCTCGTGGCAGCTTCAGCCCCTGCCCCCCATTCCTCCACCCCTCCCCAACTCATCTCCTAAACCAGGAGGCACAGACTCCTGGGAGAGCTTTCTTGTATCTTTTTCCTCAGCATGCTCAGGGTTGTTCCCACCCCATCCCCCAAACCTGGGATCTGTAGCTGCTTGAAGCCCCTCTCATAGAGCTGCTTCTCTGATCTCTTCCTCGTGGCCCCCCTGCACCTCCTGTGTCCAGGATGATCGATTGCCCAGATGTTGTTTGTGCTGGAGACGGGACAGATGCCAGAGACCCAGAGAGTGAGAGATATGGAAAGAGAGTGAGAGCGAGGGAGAGAAAAAGATGGACAGAATGTGAGAGAAATGGAGGAAGACAGAAGAGACAGAGACAGAAAGACCAACATAAAGAGACAGAGAGAGTAAGAGAGTGAGAGAGACAGGAGACAGATGAAGAGTTGAGAGAAGTATTCAGAGAGTACAGAGAGAGACAGATTCATAAGCTAAAAGACAAAGAGAGAGCGTAAGAGAGGCAGATGCTAGGAGAGACAGGGGCAGGAGTGTCATGGGGTTGAATGCCAGCTGATGCTGCCCTGCCTCCAGGTACCTTTGCATTTCCCATCCATTCAGGTACTGTTCAGAAGCAAGTGAGGGTGAGGTGACCTTTCCCTTGCAGGGAGTTTGAGCCCTGGAAAGCTGAGTTCTAGATCCCAAATGTCCCCTATTTATGCCCTCCTGAGGGCATGTCCCTTCTCCTGATAATCATGGACTCTCCCAGGTGCACCCCCTGTGGATGTGCTCCGGGCCCTGAGGTTCCCCTCCCTCCCTGATGGTGTCCGGAGAGCGAAAGGCATCTGTCCAGCTGATGTGGCCTACCGAGTGGCACGACCTGCCCAGCTCAGTGCACCCACTCGCCAGCTTTTCCCAGGTATGGGTGACATGGTGGGGTAGGCCTGGGGGGAGGTAATGGGATGGGGCCTAGGATCAGACACCAGGAGGAAAGGGGTTGTGGCGGCTCCCTTTGCCTCTCACTCTGTGTGTATCTCTCTCGGTTACTAGGAGGATTTCCCAAAGATTTCTCTCTGCTGACTGTTGTCCGGACCCGCCCTGGTCTCCAAGCTCCCCTCCTGACTCTCTACAGTGCCCAGGGTGTCCGACAGCTGGGCCTGGAGCTGGGCCGACCTGTCCGCTTCCTGTATGAAGACCAGACTGGGCGGCCTCAACCTCCCTCTCAGCCAGTCTTCCGAGGCCTCAGCCTAGCAGATGGCAAGTAAGTTTGTTTGCTCCTCTGGTCTGCCTGGCCCACACTTTCAGGAGGAAGTGCCCCCAAACCCCTACACTCTAAACTGTGAAACCCTTGAGACCCTTTGGGCCACACCACACCTACCCACTGCCCAAACTTCAGTCACTTCTAGTCCAGAGTTTGGGCTTTAGAGTGTACAGCCTTCTCTGCATGTTGAACTAGCCTGTACCTTGGGCAAGTTACTTAAAATTTTTGAGCCTCAGTTTCTACATCTGTAAAATAGACATTAAATAGAATTGGCACAAATAAGAAAGTGACGGCATGGTGTCTGGTGCACTGTAAACACTCAATAAATGGTAGCCATTGTTATTACTGCTCTTATCACCATTGGCTTCAACTCTTATCACTGCTCTCCAACCATGTTGACTCCCCTACTTCAGTCAGCCAAGAGTTCACTTGAACCTCTTCCACCATTTCCAGGTGGCACCGTGTGGCTGTGGCTGTGAAGGGCCAGTCTGTCACCCTCATTGTTGACTGCAAGAAGCGAGTCACCCGGCCTCTCCCCCGAAGTGCTCGTCCAGTATTGGACACCCATGGAGTGATCATCTTTGGTGCCCGTATTCTGGATGAAGAAGTCTTTGAGGTAACCAGAGCAATCAGAGGCAGGATTGACTTCTGGTCCCCTATCTTGTGCCCACTACCCTTCTGGCCCCAGCATGTCATCTTCCTATTCCCTAGGCCTTCATTTTTTTTTCTTATGAATTTTCATTTCTATTTTCTATCTTCAGGGCTACTGTTCTCTGCAGGAGAACTAGATGCCTACCTATATGGCAGGACTGTCCACAGCCACTTACTCTGTCCTTCAGTCTTCATCAGTTCCCTCATCCATCCATCCTTTCAACCCCTCTCTCTCCTCACCCACCCATCAATTCACTCACTCCTCAGCCAACCTATGCACACATCCACCACCCACTCCCCCATCTATTTACTCATCTATGCATCACACGCCCACCTAGTCATGCATGAAGGCTTATATCCACCCACCTGTCAATCCTCCCCCTGCTTAACCACTCTCCCCTTCAAACCACCCATCTATGCTTCCACCCATCTATCCTCTTCAACTCCTCCATCCAGCTATTCACTCACCCACCCACCCTCCCCATCTACCCATGCACACAAGGATGCATGCATCCATTCAGCCACCATCTATCCATTATCCTTCCACCAACTCAACCACTCCCTCCTTCAATATACTCACTCACCCATCTCCTGACCCACTTACTTCCCATCCGACCAGTCATTCACCCACATAAGTTCACCCATCTACCTATTCACCCATTTGCTTCCATCTACTCTGTAACCCCTGTTCATCTGCCCACCAGTCCACCCTCCCATACGTACATTTATTCATTCACTATTTATCAATGCTCCCATTCATTAATGCATGTAAGCCCCCAGCCACCCATCCACTCATCTATCCATTCATCCATCCCTCCATTCACCCATCCCTCCATTCACCCTCCAAGCCAGTCAACATTTTCTGAATACCTGCTGGACAAGGAGAACAAAGAAGAGAATATAAAGTCTCTATCACCCCCAAGAGCTCCCAGGTGGGCTCTGGAAATGAGACAACATCCCTAAATTACGGTGCAATGGAGAGTATGCTAAGCACCATGTGTGGGCAAAAGTAAATGCCATTGGAACTCAGGAATGGGTTCTCCCCACTCCATTTCTAGAGGTCCAGAGAATTCTCATCATCACTGCCATTGGAAGGCCAAGGCATCTAAAGCTGAGCCCTGTCTCTGGAAGCCACTGTGGAAGGGCTCATGCATTGCCACAAAGCGCAGAGGGGAGGCAAAGAATTCTGGAAGGCCTGGGATCTGGTCCTGATTCTGCCACTCTGGGTGACCTTGGGGCAGTCATTGCCTTTTTGGGCTTTTCTGAATGGAACGTATCTGAAAAATGGGTAGAAAGAAAGATCCTTGTTCTGCCAACTTTCCTGGTTGTTATGAAGGTCCTATGAGATCCCTTGAAAACTGAAAAGGGCTATGCATATGGAGGACTGACAGTGACCTTCTCCCATCTTAGGGTTTTACCTAGGATTGGCCTCCTATACTCTTTCTCCCGGATGATACCCTCTGCCTCTCTCTGAATCTCTCCGCTCCATCTCTCTCATGTCTTTGCAGGGTGATGTCCAGGAGCTGGCCATTGTCCCAGGGGTCCAGGCAGCCTATGAATCATGTGAACAGAAGGAGCTGGAATGCGAGGGGGGCCAGAGGGAAAGACCCCAAAACCAACAGCCTCACAGAGCCCAGAGATCTCCACAGCAGCAACCATCAAGACTTCACAGGCCACAAAATCAGGAACCCCAGAGCCAGGTGAGGGAGCTGGGAGAACCCCCAAGTGCAGCACACCCCAGAGAGGGAAGACACCCAGGCATCTCTCCTCCTTAGTTGTCCTCCCCACCCTCATCTCCCTATTCCCATCACCCCCTCCTCCTAGTCCTCATTCATCAGCCTTTTTATTTTCATCTAAAAATAAAAAGAGTTGTTATGAAGAATTTGTGGCTGGGAGCTGTGTTCCCTGCTCTGCGTCTCCTCTTCCAGTCTTCCTGGAACTGTGTCCCTGGGTTTTCCCTTCCTTCTTTGAATTAAGAGATTGGGAGACAGTGGGAGAGGGGTGAGAGCTGGGGAGGCAGGTAGGAGAGGGGACTGAAGCCAGGAGAAAGCAGTCGGGATGGTGAGACCAAGGAGGAGGAATGGGAAGGAGTAGGGATGGAGGGAATATCAAAGGAGGGGTGGGTCTGCAGAAGTGTGGGAGTGGGGAACCCAGTCTCTGGCCCCCACCTACCTGGAGGGGCAGGAAAAGGGGAGGTAGTAGGGGGAAGGGAAGGGAAGGGAAGGGAAGGGAGCCTGGGTTGGATGGGGTCTGGAGAGTTAGAATACAGATAGGCTCTGGGGTCAGTGGTCTAAAGATCAGAGGGTCAATCTCTTAATCATGTCTGCTTCTGCCCCACATGTGGAACCCCTTCCCTCTGTTCCACCTCTCCCCACCTCCCTCCTGACCCTCAACCTCTCCTTTCATCTTCAACTCTCTGTTTCCCAACTCCACACCTCCCCCGTTTCCCAACTCCCACACCATCTTTATATCTCCCTCTCCCGCCCTTCACCCCACACCTTCCAATTACCCCATCCCCTTCCTGTCTATGCCCACCCCCCAATCCCAGCCCACTGAGTCTCTCTACTATGACTACAAGCCCCCCTATTATGATGTGATGACTACGGGGACAACCCCTGATTATCAGGTAAACTCAAGGGACCCCTTCATTTCTTCCCTTTCTCCCAGCACCCCCAGCAATCATCTCCTAGGACACCTTCCTCCCCTCCCCCATGCCGTGGGGAGAGGCACAGTGTGTTTAGATTATGGGGATTTACTTAGTTCCTGCCCCCTCCCTGTCTCTCTGCTGCAGCGCCCTGGGAGCCCCCACCACAGGCCTCCCCCTTCCCCTAGGGGGCATCGGACCCCTCCCTGAAAGCCTACCCCACCTGCCAAGAGGTCAATGACCTGGCAGGCGTCCCCCTCACCAGGCCGGAGGCCCTCTCCAACTGCAGGCTTTGACCCAGCATGGGAGCAGCCTCCCCTTTCCCGATGCCCAGCTCGGAGGGCAGCTTCCCCCACTGCCTGGCCCCGCCCCAGGACCAGAGGCAGCAGTTACCGGCAGGTAGAGCCGGGGCATCCAGATCTCTGCCCCCAAACCTCTATGACCTTGGAGGTTCACTCTCCCCAAACTATCCCCCTCCAAAGGGGCTGCAAGATCTGAGATTTCCCCCATCCCCCAGCACAGACAGACCCTGCCCTCGGGGGACAGGTGCTGCTTTGCCTCCCTTCTGCTAACCTTTCTCCTTCCTTCCCACCCCGTGCTACTCTTCTCCTTCTCTCCTTGGGGACAGGACCCCACCCCAGGTGAAGAGGAAGAAATCCTGGAGTCGAGCCTCTTGCCACCCCTTGAGGAGGTAACTCTATGCCCCACCCTCACCCCATCTGGGGGCAGTGGGCACCTGTGACTCACTCCCCTCAGCCCATGACGTCTTGATGGACCAGCCCCTCCTCTGGCCGGAGGGTTCTTCCTCATTTCCATCGATGGCCTCTGTCTTTGGGTCACTCTAGAACTATGGGCCTGCTTGACTCTCTAAGTCCAGCCCGTTCCCTTCAGTATCCAGGCCTCCTTCCATGATTCTTTGATTCCTGAGTGACTTCGTCTCCATGTTGGTGTCTAATGGTCTTACTTTCTATGTCCTATTTCTGTTCCCGGGAGCCACTTTCTGTCCAGTGTTGTCACCTTTTGTCTTCCCTATCTCTTTGGTCATTCCTGGACTCCTTTGTCTGTCATTGTGTCCATGGACTGTCCACTCTGCATCCAGTCCTCTGGCCACCCTTCATTTTATCCACCACTTCTTCCCACTGGACCCACTTTCTGGACATCTCTCCCCATTTTTGGCCTTTGATGGCCCTTCCATTTATATACAACCACTCCCATGGCTATTCTTGGGAGAAAAAATCCAGTTCTGATTAACCTTGGAATCCTTTGGGCTAGAAGTTGTCACACCCTGGGGTCCAGGGTAAGCCTCCTCTCAGCCCTAACATCCCCATCTACCCCTCTCCCTCCCCATCCCTGGGAAGGAGCAGACAGATCTCCAGGTCCCCCCCACAGCCGACAGGTTCCAGGCAGAGGAATATGGGGAGGGTGGCACAGACCCCCCTGAAGGGCCCTACGATTACACCTATGGCTATGGGGATGATTATCGTGAGGAGACAGAGCTTGGCCCTGCCCTCTCTGCGGAGACAGCCCACTCAGGAGCCGTAAGTGAAAGGAGCTTCTCTTTCATTCTTGACTACCAGTGTGAGCTACAAGAATTGCTTCTTGTTGGTTTCGATCCTTGGCTGTTGGCTGTGAGCTATTTCCCATCTGTGACTTGTCATTTTCTGTTCACATATGATGTATATGTTGCTTGAAAAGATTACTACCTGCCTTCCTTTGCCAAATGTCTTACCTTGTGACTCTTGTGGATACTTCTGAAGCTCAGGGCAATTGGGAATTAAAAAAAAAAAATATGTAGCCACTTCCTGTCTTTCTTGATCACTTCCTGTCTAACTGAAGCTGGATTTCATAAAGCTTTTGGTCAATAAACTACTACCTTGTGTCCATTTTCAGTGTTTCTCTATCATTTCTTCTTGGTGAAATAATTTTTTGTTCATGTTTCTACCAAACGATCTAACTTCCTATGTCACCTTTTTTTAACCTACAGGCCACTTATTATCTGTCCCTTCCTGCCTTCTCCAGCTGTGGCATCCATCTTGGTAACTGTGTCAGGTTGGACTGCAAAGGATTTATTATTTCTGTTCTGGCTCTAGTTTTTCATGCTATCTTGTGACAATTTCCTTTGACAATAAGCCACTTCCTGTATGTCTCAGGTCATTTAAATCATAAAGTTTCCATTGTGGGCCTCGATATTTCTCATGGCTACTTCCTGTGTGTCCTAGCCTTGATGTTTGTGTTTTCTGGAAGAATTACCCTTCACTGTCATGATTCCCTTTGCAGGAGTCACATTCTACCTGTTTTGTGCCTTTCTTTTCTCTCTGGGTCACGGTAGCCATGTTGTTGTTGAAGGTTCACTTCCTGGATCCTCTTTCCTTCACTGCTTCCTGTCTGTTCAGCCACTTCCTGTTTGTCCAGTTTGTTTTCTAGCCATGTTGGCCATGTTTAATTTTCTTCGGCCCTGGCATCATTCTTGCTTCCAAGTGTTTGTCATTTTGTTCTGTGTCCCTTAGTTGTTCTCATATCTTCCAGTATTCCCTGTCAGTGGGACTGCTTCCTGTCTACTCCGCTCCGTCTTCTGCCTGCCTTGCAGTTCTGGCTGCCTCCTCTACCCTGCTGCCGCATCCCATACCTCCCCTCTCTTGCCTCCCTTGAGCTTCTACTGCCTTTCCTTTATGCTGCTCTCTGGGTATTTGGGGTTGATATGGGATTTCAGAGAATTTTGAAACGGATCATTGCTGTTTGGTCAGAATGAAGGTGGAGAGGGGCATTCTGAAGATCTTTGTTGGGGGGAGTTGGGGTGGTGGTGAATGTCTCCCATTCTCCATGTTCTTATTTTGTTTCTGGCCCTAGAGTTGGGAACAGGTATCTGAGTGGAGGTGTGCAAGGGAGGGAACTGGTGGGCTTGGAATGTACTTGAGGGCCAGAGGAAGGGCAATGCATTCAGTGGGGACTGCTCTCCAATTTTTTTTTTTTTTGAGGCAGGGTCTCACTCTGTCACCCAGGTTGGAGTGCAGTGGCAGGATCTTGGCTTACTGCAACCTCTGCCTCCTGGGTTCAAGCGATCCTCCTGCCTCAGCCTCCCGAGTAGCTGGGGTTACAGGCATGTGCCACTGCGCCCGGCTATTTTTTGTATTTTTAGTAGAGACGGGGTTTCACATGTTGGCCAGGCTGGTCTCAAACTACTGACCTCAAATGAGCTGCCTGTTTCGGCCCCACAAAGTGCTGGGATTACAGGCGTGCGCCACCGTGCCTGGCCTCCAAATTTACTTAGAGTATGGATGCTTAACCTTTGGGGCATATTTAAACTTGTGAACCCTTTGAAATCCTAAATAAAATTCTGTGCATAATAGCATATACTTTTTCATTTCTGGAGAAAGACTCACAGCTTTCATCAGATTCTTTTTTTTCTTTGAGATGGAGTTTTGCTCTTGTTGCCTAGGCTGGAGTACGATGGCATAATCTTGGTTCACTTCAACCTCCACCTCCTGGGTTCAAGCTATTCTCCTGCTTCAGCCTCCCAAGTAGCTGGGATTACAGGCATGTGCCACCACACCCAGCTAATTTTGTATTTTTATTAGAGACGGGGTTGCACCATGTTGGTCAGGCTGGTCTCAAACTCCTGACCTCAGGTGATCTGCCTGCCTCCGCCTCCCAAAGTGCTGGGATTATGGGCGTAAGCCACCTCGCCCGGCCTAGCTTTTATCAGGTTCTCATGTGGGTCCATGCCCTCCTCTTACCCCAAATAAAAATCTACCCACAATCTTAGAGAGATTCTTTTATGATGTATTGGGGTAAATGTGTGGAAGGTTTCTTAAGGTTCTAGGGAGGGAGTTTGGGAGATGGGATAGGGTCCTCTAGAAGAGGGTTTGGGAAGGTGGGTGGTTTAAAATCCCTGAAAGGGGCCAGGTGTGGTGGCTCACGCCTGTAATTCCAGCACTTTAGGAGGCCAAGGCAGGCGGATCACCTGAGGTCAGGATTTTGAGACCAGCCTGGCCAACACGGTGAAACCCCATCTCTAATAAAAATACAAAAATTAGCCGGGCATGGTGGTGCACATCTGTAATCCCAGTGTAATCCCAGCTACTTGGGAGGCTGAGGCAGGAGAATCACTTGAACCTGGAAGGCAGAGGTTGTAGTGAGCCGAGATCGCGCCATTATACTTCAGCCTGGGTGACAGAGCAAGACTTCGTCTCAAAAAAAAAGAAAAACAAACAAACAAACAAAAACACTGGAAGTTTCTGGGGACCTTCCTGAAAGAGGCTCTCAGGGAGATGGAGAGGTTGTGTTTGCTGAGGTGGGGCTGGGAACTGGGGGGCAGGGAACCCTGAGGTCTCCTTGGCAGGCTTGAAAGGTTTGTGAAGAGGGAGTTTTAGGGGAGGGCTGTGGGGCTTTCGGGTAGGGCTGAAGTGGTCTCGAGAGGATCTAAGAATCAAGGTTGGAGTTGAGATGGAGAAAGGCCTAGTGTCCTGGCTGCTCACGGGCCCCACTGGGGGCTACATGTGTGTCTCCTTCAGGCTGCCCATGGACCCCGAGGGCTGAAGGGAGAGAAAGGAGAGCCTGCAGTGTTGGAACCTGTAAGTTATGCTGGTCACAGGGCTGAGGCAGTGGAAATAGGAGAAGCAAGTGGGGTTGAGTGTGCTGGTCCTGTCGCCTCTGATTTTTAACCTTTGACTCCACAGGGTATGCTCGTGGAGGGGCCCCCTGGCCCAGAAGGCCCTGCGGTAAGTCTAGCAGTGACCTGGTGGCCATTCTTTTCTTAGAAACCCCTTCTATGTGCTCATCTGAGCCTTCCCCACATATGCCCAGGCCTCCTCCTCAGAACTCGGGAGCATCCCTCCAATCAACGCTTCCCAGATTCCCAGATCTGTTCTGCACAGACCACTCCTCAGCCACAGGCTGAGTGTCCACACCTGTCTGAATGCCCACACCTGACCCCTACTCTTTTGTTCCTCAGGGATTGATTGGTCCCCCTGGCATCCAGGGGAACCCAGGCCCAGTTGGAGACCCTGGAGAGAGGGTAAGGGGGTGTCCTCCATGTGACGGGGGAGCTTCGGGGGAGCTAGTGGTATCCAAGCGGGGGGCTACCATGCCCAGTAATTTCCTGTTAGGTGGCTTGTTAATGAATGAGGGGATGGTTGTGCTTCCCAGCAACCAGAAAGGAGGGCAGACTCTGGTTGGGGAGGGTGCTGATCTGGTTTCTCACCCTCAATTTTCCCCATGGGGGTGGGAGACTCAGGAAAGAGCTAGAGCAATCTACACTTATTCTGTTGAAGAGGATATTTCAAAATCATGCTAAGATCTTGATGTCCCCTTATCTTTCACCCCATCTTTTGCATTCTCTTCCCACTCCAGGGCCCCCCTGGCCGAGCAGGGCTCCCTGGATCAGATGGGGCTCCTGGTCCTCCTGGCACATCTCTCATGCTCCCAGTGAGTTGTCTCTTGGGTTTTGGAACATGCTGATGGGGAAGACAAGGAATTGTGTCATGTTACCAAGAACCAGATGGGCAGGAAAGATATGGAGGAGTCTCTAAAGATCATCAAAGATCATCACTCCAAAGGGATTCGTCTTTGGGGTTGGGGAGATGGGGCCTCATTAGGTGACCTAGAACAAAACACCAGTCTTCTAGGACTGGGCAGAACAGCCTATATTTCAGGAGCTCTAGAACCAAAAGAGAGTCTTTCTGGAGGCAGAGGCTGGACAGTGGAGGAGGGCAGGAGTTGAGTTTCTGGAATCCTCTAAGTGATTATCTGGAAGCCATGGGAAATGCTGGATGGGCAGAACCTGGGGCAAGGGGCAGAAACGCTGGAGAAAGCCTCTGGCTGGGAGGGTCCCATGGCTTTCTTGGAAGAGAACCTGGACCTTCTCTCCTTGCCCTCAGTTCCGGTTTGGCAGTGGTGGGGGTGACAAGGGCCCTGTGGTGGCGGCCCAGGAGGCTCAGGCCCAGGCGATCCTGCAGCAGGCGAGGGTGAGTGGGGCTGCTTCCCTGGAAAGGGAAGGCTCTGGGGGGCACTGGAAGGGTTGGCTGGAGTGAGTGTGCGGCAGGGGAGGCCTGGGTTGGTTTGGGGTTAACAGGGAGGTTGGGGAGAATCCTGGGCAGTGGATGAGGATCAGGAGAGGAAGGGTGAATTTGGAGAGTGCTGGGGCTGGGGGTTCCCACTGCCTGTCCCTCAGCTCTGCTGTCCCCCTGCTCCCCTAGCTGGCGCTCCGTGGACCCCCTGGCCCCATGGGATACACAGGGCGCCCTGGACCCTTGGTGAGTGAGCAGGGTGCTCGGGTGGAGGATGCTTTAATTGTGTGTGGGGTGTGGATAGTTCTGGAAAGGGGCTTCTTTTGGGGAACACTCCGAGGCCACTGTTGGCTGTGTCCTTCCTTACGGCCATCCTCTCTTCTCTCTCCCAGGGCCAACCTGGGAGCCCTGGCCTGAAAGGAGAGTCTGGAGACTTAGGACCTCAGGTGACCACTTTCCTCCACTGCACCCCCATATCTGTTCACCAGCTCAGTCTCCCTCACTCCCCTCCCTATGCCTCCTAACCCCACCCCATCTCTCCTCTCACCAGGGCCCCAGAGGACCTCAGGGCCTCACAGGCCCTCCTGGCAAGGCTGGGCGAAGGGTGAGTGCCCCAGGGGTGGATGGGTGTTGTGGGGAGACAGGGCCTGCAGGGTAGGGGACTGCGGCCCTGCTTGTTCTGACACTTCCCTTGTTCTCCCAGGGCCGGGCAGGTGCTGATGGAGCCCGAGGGATGCCTGGAGATCCTGGAGTGAAGGTAACAGGCTTGGGCCCCTCCCTGAAGCCTGTAGCCTTCAGCCCACGCTGGGCTCAGTTGTTTCTTGGGGATGACCTAGTTCTCCAGGCTTCCCCAGGATCAGCACCCCCCCAGCTCAGGGTGCAGTAGGGAGGGGTGGGCTTGGACAGGGTCGTGTCCTCACTCTGGCTATCCTTCCTCCTCCTAGGGTGACCGAGGTTTTGATGGACTCCCAGGGCTCCCTGGAGAGAAGGGCCATAGGGTGAGTACATTAGTGGGTGTGTGTTGTAATTGGGGATAGATCTTCTATGGGAGTGAGGATAGGTAGGGAAGGGAGGCTGGAGGCTTGGCAGGAGCTCAGTGAAAGTAATGGATGGGCTAAGTGCAGAGGTTCGGTGTCTGCCTGTGTTGGGGGCTCTGAAGCCCCTCTTATGAGTTCCCCCATTTTGCAGGGTGATACTGGTGCCCAGGGCCTTCCTGGTCCCCCTGGTGAGGATGGAGAGAGGGTAAGTGTAGTGGCAAATGTAGGGGCTGGGTGCAGGGGAGGTCTAGAAGGCACAGCAGCTTTACCGTGTCCTCCTCCTCCAGGGAGATGACGGGGAGATTGGGCCTCGAGGGCTGCCTGGAGAGTCGGTGAGTGTCCAAGGGCTGGTGCTGGGGGAGGGGGCTCTGGGGAAGCCAGGAGGGGGACATGAGCACTAAAGGGACACAGTTTTATCCATTCATGCCGTCTCCTCCCCTCACCGTGAATGCAGGGACCTCGAGGTCTCCTTGGCCCCAAAGGCCCACCTGGTATTCCTGGACCCCCTGTAAGTGACTCCCTGACTTCTGACCCTGAGGTGACCCCTTGACCTCTCCAACTCTCCACCTTTCTAGCTGCCTTCCTGCTCCCTCTCCTCTCTCGGCATGCTTCCCATTCCCTGTGAGCTCCCCCTGCTCTGGCCCCACACTGCCCTGCCTCAGCATTCGCTCCCCGTGCACAGGGAGGGCCATGTGGCGTGGTGCCCCGAGGGCTCTGGGCATAGGAAATAAATCTTCAAGAAAAACAAAACCAAAGCCCACAAGCCCACAGATCCACAGTCCCACACACTGCAGGCCTGGGCCAGCTGTGTTTGCTTGGGTTTGGGATGGATTGGAGGTCTGACCGTCACACCCTCGGGAATGGCCGGGCCTCTGAAAACCACAGGTCCCTCCGGGCCACCTTCAGGCTGCTCACACCCATCTTGTGTTTCAGGGCGTCCGAGGCATGGATGGTCCCCAGGGCCCCAAAGGGAGCTTGGTGAGTGATGGATAGGAGATCCCACCCCCATTCTTATCCCCCGAGGTCCCTGCCAGCATCCTGTTGGCCTCCATTTTGACCCCTGCCTGCTTCCTGCTCTTGCCTTCTTGGCTATCGCTGCTGGGACTCAGCTCCATGCTCTAAATGTGTTCTATCTCCATCTCCTTCTGACCTGTGCCTGGTCACCTGTTTCTAGGGACCCCAGGGAGAGCCAGGACCTCCTGGACAACAGGGCACCCCTGGGACCCAGGTGAGCGGTGCCCCTACTCCGTTCCCCAATTTTCATGACTTCCCTTGGGCTTCCACAATGGGTGAGACCCTGGAAGGATACAGGAAATTAAGGGTTTCAGGCCCTTGTTGCTCATGCTTTGAATCCGGGAGGCTGGATAGAAGAGACCCTGGGAGGCCCCTGTGACTTCTCTTTCCCTGTATGTAGGGTCTTCCCGGGCCCCAGGGTGCCATCGGCCCTCATGGAGAGAAGGTAAGTGACTAAGTGATTTGGAGGACAGGGGGTTTAGAGTGGGGATGTAGGGAGAACCCTAAATGTCTGCTGGGATTTTGTCTGTGTCCAGACATGACCCCTCTAGTGACCCTGAGCCTCTTTGTCTTCCTGCAGGGTCCTCAAGGGAAGCCAGGGCTCCCCGGCATGCCTGGCTCAGACGGACCCCCGGTGAGTGGGACCCCACTTCCGAATCCAGTTCCCCTTGGCCTTCCACCCCAGTGCATGACCTCAGAGCTCCTTTAGTGACCCTTGCACTGAAAGGTCACTGGTGGTGCTTGTCCATGGACAGTTGGCTTCACTAGGTCACAGGAAATTTGGGTTGGAAGAAGTGTAGGGAGGGGTGCAGAGAGGGTGACAGGGGCCACTGGTCACATTTTCTATCCCTTACTCCCAGGGTCACCCAGGGAAGGAAGGTCCCCCTGGAACCAAAGGAAACCAGGTGAGATCTTCCATGTCTTTATCCCCTGAGGTAGTCTCCACTCAGACTCTAGAGCCTCAAAGTCCTTGGGATTCCCTTGTCTCATTATTCATATGGCTCTGCCACATTCTCAATTCCTGTGCCCTGTAACCCTACCCAGACAGCAATGTTGTTACTTCCATTTCTTCCACCCCTGGAGGCCCCCACAGTGACACTCTGAGGCCCCTTTATAAATGCCTCTCTTTTATCTTCCAGGGTCCCTCTGGACCTCAGGGACCTCTAGGATACCCAGGACCTCGAGGGGTCAAGGTAACTGACCACCAGGCTGGGAGACAAAGGGCTGTGGTCAGGGGAGCTATATGGGGTCTTAGGAGCTTGGTCCTTCCAACCCACCTCCATCCCCTGATCAGTCTACTTCTATCCCCTCTCTAATTCTAGGGTGTGGACGGAATTCGGGGTCTGAAGGGTCATAAGGGTGAGAAGGTGAGCACCATGCCCCCAGCTTCCCAGCACCTCAGTCCTGCCATCTCCTCTCTTCACTGCCTTCCCTCCAGCCTGCCCCGCACTGCCGTCCAGCTCCCGAGCCCCTGCTTCCACCTATGTTCTCAGAATTCCCATTAGAACCCCAGCCCTCTGTCATCTGTGGTGCCCTCTCACCTCTATCTTTCTCAGGGTGAGGATGGCTTTCCTGGGTTCAAAGGTGACATAGGCGTGAAAGGTGACAGGGTGAGTAGAGACCCCACACTGGCCCCAATTCCGTGTTCTACTGAGCCTCCACTCTGGAGACGCCAAGCACCGGTTTATTCTCCTGAGTCTCCAGACTCCACAGTTCCAGTGCTGTGTTCCCTTGGGAGCCTGACCCCTACAGGATGATAGCCCCATGGTCTGTGTCATGCCTGCCCTCCCATCACTACACTATCCCTACCCTGTGGGCTTCCTGTCCTGCAGTGGCTCCTGGGACCCCTCTAGCCCTCCTCAGCCTCACTGTTGCCCATTTCTCCTCTGGGCCCAGAGCCCACCTCCAGTCCCCAGCACTCACCTGTCCTTCCCTCTCACACAGGGCGAAGTTGGAGTCCCTGGTTCCAGGGGAGAGGATGGTCCTGAGGGGCCAAAGGGACGCACTGGACCGACTGGAGACCCTGGGCCCCCAGGGCTCATGGGCGAGAAGGTGATGGGATGAGGGTTCTGTGCCTGGGTCCTCTGGGGGTGTGGGCACTGGGGTCAGGATGGGCATGGGTGCCCGCCGCTGAAGTCAGCCAGTCAGTTGAAGATGGCCATGCATTAGTCATACTTCTGTCTGTGTAAATGGCATCTCTCAGCTGCTGATGGGCAGAGGGGATATATAAGAAGTCAGGGAAAAGTCCCTGACACGAAGAGTTGGACGGAGACGAAGCTTAGAGAGTAGCTGTTGCTTCAAGGCAGAGTGAACATGCGTTCGGACTCCAAGCAGCAGGAGTTCTGAGATGAGAGAGTCTAATAGCAGTGAGGTCTGTGGTCTCCAGAGCTGACTCTCCCCAGCACTTGCCCTATGCCAGGTGCTGTGCTGATGCGTCCTATCTATCCTATGAGGTAGGCATGTGACGTACTGTTTTGCTGAGGTTTTACAGAGGCACAGGGATGCTTGTTGATTACATGGCCAGTGAAGGGCAGAGCCAGGGGTTATGCCCAGGCAGTCTGGCTTCAGAATCTCTGCTTCTAAGCCCTGCTCTGCAGCTGCCTGGGCAGGGTGAGCCCTGGAGCCTCTGGGGAAGGGGGCATGCACGGGAGTCGGGGTGTGGTGGGCAAAGGGCCTGCAGGGGGATTGGTCTTGGTGAAGCAGGAGTGGGTGCTGGGGTAGATCCCACCTCCCTCATGGGGTAGATGGAGCTGAGGTTGACATGTGGGAAGCAGCTAGATCACAGTGACCCTGAAGGACCTGATACCTCTGTAGGCGCAGGGGAGGTGGGATCCCAGCACTAGAATTGGGGAAAATCCACTCATGGGAAGGAGAGACAACAAAAGTCAGGCAGCTGTGGGGCAAGCAATGAGGGGCTAGAGGCTGGGGTGTGTGGGGTGTGTTGCTGGGTGGGGGCTGGCTGTTATATGTGAGGGTTGAGGTCTCCAGGGGTGGAGTGGCATCTGGGCCTCCTCTCACTCCTAACTGCTTCCTGTCCCTCCACAGGGCAAGCTGGGTGTTCCTGGTCTGCCTGGCTATCCTGGACGTCAGGGACCCAAGGTGATGCCATGCCCCATACGTGCCCCTCCTCCTCTTCCCTCCTCCTCTTCCCTTCCCTGATCCCTGATTCCAGAAAGCACAGATGCAGGGCAGTGGGGGACCCCAGAGGGAATTTAGCTGACCCCCATTTTACAGATGACCGAAAGAGGCCCAGAGAGCAGCAGGGGTTTGTCCAAGGCCACTTAGTTCTTGGCAGAGCTCGGGTCTCCCTGGCCACTGCCTTTGTGGCCTCTCCTGACCCCCTTTGCCCCTTCCTGAACCCTACCTTTCATAACTTCTCAATTTCCCCCCTTCTCCGTTCTCACCAGGGGTCCCTAGGATTTCCTGGCTTTCCTGGTGCCAGTGGAGAGAAGGGAGCCCGGGTAAGCTGGGGGGTGGGAGGGGGTGAGAAGGGAAGGGCTGGAGAGGTGTAGAGGGGGTCTGTGGGGAGTCTCACCCTGGGTAATGTTCTCTCTGCTTCATTCCCACCAGGGCCTGTCGGGGAAGTCAGGGCCTCGGGGAGAACGGGGCCCCACGGTGAGTGCAGGGGAGAGAAACAGGTGGCTCAAGGTCCAGAGGGGGGCATTTGGGTTTCTCTGACAACTCCTCTTCCCTCTGTAGGGTCCACGGGGTCAGCGGGGACCCCGAGGTGCCACTGGGAAGTCTGGAGCTAAGGTGAATGGTCTCTACAAGGCTCCAACTGCCCCCTGCCCACTCAGCCCCAGCTCTCCCTCAACATCCTGACCTCGGGGACAGCTGGAAAGCAGCTCTTCCCACTCCTTGACTCTGTTTCCCCCCACAGGGAACATCTGGTGGTGATGGCCCCCATGGGCCCCCTGGAGAGAGGGTAAGTGTGGATCGAAAGTCCCCTTCCCCTGAGGTCCCCAGGGAGCCTGGGTGAGCCAGCTCCCTCCTCACCCCAGGAAGGAAGCTGAATTCCCCCACTCAGCCCCTGCCCCCATTCTCCTGACTCCCCCCACCTCTGTCTCTAGGGCCTCCCTGGACCTCAGGGTCCCAACGGGTTTCCTGGACCGAAAGGACCCCCGGTAAGTTGACCCCGAGCTCTGACCCCCCTCGCTTCTCTGAGTCCTTCTTCCCTACCTGCTTTCCAGCTGAGAGTTCACCTGACAACTGAACCCCTTCCAGGGCCCCCCTGGGAAGGACGGGCTGCCGGGACACCCAGGCCAAAGAGGAGAAGTGGTGAGTGATGCTCCTGGCTACCCATTCTCAGGGGGCTCCATCAGACCCTTTAACCCCAGAGCTGTCTGGAAAGCCCACAGGGACGTTCTCCTGGCAGAGTGGAGCCTGCCCTGGTGCTGCTCAGACCCAGGGCCCAGGGCTCGGTGTGATCCTGCCTGGGATCCTTCCTCCTGGGAATCTGCCCCACAGCGCCCACACCTGCTTTCACTGCATTCTCCTCTCTTCCTCGCCTAGGGTTTCCAAGGGAAGACCGGCCCCCCTGGTCCTCCAGGAGTGGTGGGACCTCAGGTAGGTTTGTCCCTAGGAGAGAATGGACCCCTGACCCTAGCATTAGTCTGTCTGCCCCTCTTCTCTCGGTCACACGCCCCTGCCCCGGTCCACCTGACCCAGACTCCTGGGGCTGGGGTCAATGGTGGGGGCTGGGATTTCAGGCAGGGGTCCTGAACTTCAGTCTGTTTTGGGGCGCATTCTCATCGTCTTGTCCCCCAGGAGAGGCAGTTCCCCAACAGAGACACAAGGTGGTGTAGTTACTCCACATGGGGCAGGAGAAAACCCAGCAGTGGCCCAGGAATGCCGGGGAATTTCCCAGGAGCTTTGGGGCAGGGATAAAGGGGTTCTGAAGGAGTGTTTTAGGGTGGCCAGGGTGGGCTCTTCTGGCAGACAGCGAGATGAAGGGCCTGAGAGCAGGAACTCTCTCTGCTTTTGTCTAGGGAGCAGCAGGAGAAACCGGCCCTATGGGGGAGAGAGGTCACCCAGGCCCCCCGGGGCCCCCTGGAGAGCAGGGACTACCTGGGACAGCTGGAAAAGAAGGAACAAAGGTCAGTGAGGGGCCAGGCAGAGGGGAAGTGGGGGAGCTGGGGATTGGGGTGCTGAAAGGAACAGGTAGTTGGAGATTTGAGGGGGGGCTGGAGAGCTCTCTGTTTAATTTGGGAGCATGGCTGTGGCTCATCACCTCTCCTTTCCTTTTAGGGTGACCCTGGTCCCCCTGGGGCCCCAGGGAAGGATGGTCCTGCTGGTCTGAGGGGATTCCCAGGAGAGAGAGGCCTCCCAGGCACTGCTGTGAGTGTGACTCCCAGACCCCTGCCTGTCACAAGCACCAAGCATCCTGAGTCCCCCCCCCGACCCTGTCCCTGACCCCCTCCATGTCACTCCCCACTTCCATCTTTTGGAGCCTGTCTTCCCTCTCCAGCTCTCACCCTTCTCTTTTCGTGAAGTCTCATCTTCCCCAAATGTCTGGTTCATAGGGTGGACCTGGTTTGAAGGGGAATGAAGGTCCGTCTGGCCCCCCTGGCCCTGCAGTGAGTCTGGGGTTCCGGAAGTGGTAGGAAGGACCCGGGAAAGGGGTGGGTGAGGAAGGGTGGGAGTGGCATTCTGATACCACCAGGGGCTGTGGGGCTGGGCAGAGGCTGTCCAGGGACAGCCAGAATGCATCTGATTTTGGGAGCTTTTGGGAATTGTGGTCCGAGGTTCTCTGGTATGGGCGGGCTGGTGTCTCCTTCCTGGGGGTCTGACCATCTGCTTTCTCAGGGCTCCCCTGGGGAACGAGGTGCAGCAGGATCAGGGGGACCCATTGGTCCGCCAGGGCGCCCAGGCCCGCAGGGTCCCCCTGGAGCAGCAGGAGAGAAAGGTGTCCCAGTGAGTGTGGGGGTCTTGGGGAGGGGTACTGGGGAGGGGTCTGTGAGCCTAGGGTTGATGGGCTATGACAAGTTTCCTGTGGGGTGTTTGAGGGTGAGGGTCACCTCCAGGCCATGACTCCTTCCTCCTGTCCCACAGGGTGAGAAGGGCCCCATTGGCCCAACTGGCCGAGATGGAGTGCAGGGTCCTGTGGGGCTTCCTGGTCCTGCTGGGCCTCCAGGTGTGGCTGGAGAGGATGGAGACAAGGTGAGGGGACCCCACAGACCCCGACCAATCTTCTTTCCAGATGAGATGGCTGACCTGGGCATGACCCCTGGCCCCTGTCATGTCATCCTTCCCACTCTACCCATCACCTTTCTCTAATATCTTGTCTGCCTTCTCCTCCCAGGGTGAGGTGGGGGACCCCGGACAGAAGGGCACCAAAGGGAACAAGGGTGAACATGTAAGTGTCCATGACCTTGACTTCTGACCTCCTGGCCTTTAACCTCAGTCCCACCTGATCTCTCTCCCTGTTTTGGTGTCTCTGACTCTCTTTTCTTACCCAGGGCCCTCCTGGACCCCCTGGACCCATTGGTCCTGTGGGGCAGCCTGGAGCAGCGGTGAGTGACCCCTCCACCCCCACCGAAGGCCCAGCAGCCTCTGGTCCTCCCTCAGCTCCCCTCTGCCCTTGTGGCTGGGAGTGGGAGCAGGGGCTCTGGGCCTGGCACCCAGCTGTGTGTGGTATTTGTGGATAGAGAACACCGACCCATGACCCATCCCTGTGTCCTTGTCTCTGCTTTCCCTCAACCCTGCAGGGAGCAGATGGGGAGCCCGGAGCTCGGGGACCCCAGGGACACTTTGGAGCCAAAGGTGATGAAGGAACAAGAGGATTCAATGGGCCCCCAGGACCCATTGGCCTACAGGTGTGTTGGGGGATAGGACAGGGGCTGAGAGGTGGGGTCAGGATGGGGTGATGTTTTGCCCCAGACTCTGCCAGCAGCCTGCCGATGCGGACTGGAGGGCCTGCGGAGTCTGAGGGGAGGGGACTGTGGGGCCTATCTGCCTAGGGCTGTGCTTTGGGTGGGGTCGTCACCTGGGCCCATGTTTTGTATACTTGCACAGGGTTTGCCAGGCCCCTCTGGGGAGAAGGGAGAAACAGGAGATGTGGGTCCTATGGTGAGTGTGACCCCTACTGACCCTAGCCACCATACTAGTCACCCCCCTCCCTGGCCAGCCCCCACCCCACACCCCACTGCCAACTCCCTGGCCTGGCTGCTCCTCCTCCTCTCTCCACCATTCATGCTCAGCCATCTCACTTCCCTTCCTCATCTGTGGTGTATCTGTTTCCCCCAGGGACCACCTGGCCCCCCAGGACCTCGAGGTCCAGCTGGACCCAATGGCGCTGATGTGAGTCATCTCAGCCCCTGTCCCTTGAGACCAATGTGTCTGGTCTTCTGCCTCCCTTTCCCAGACCATAAACTCTAGTATCGTCTCGGGGGCCAAGAGAAGCCCTTACTCCCGGGAGGCCTCCACTGCCTCACTGCTGTAACCTTGGGCTGCTCATCTGGGACTTTGCCCCTGAAATGGCACCTCCATCCTAAGCAATGACACCTATTTCTGTTCCTCTTCCAGGGCCCACAAGGTCCCCCAGGAGGTGTTGGGAACCTGGGTCCCCCTGGAGAGAAGGTAACTGGGAAGGGGGTGAGTGGACCAGTCATGGAAGTGGGGGATGGGAGTTGGATTTCTGCCAATTTTGGGTGGGGAGACAAAAGAGAATGAGATGTGGGGAATATCAGAATTTTTTGGCTGGGGAAGGAGAGGAGGTTTTTGACTCTAATCTCTTTGCAGGGGGAACCAGGAGAGTCAGGATCTCCAGGGATCCAGGGCGAGCCAGGTGTCAAGGTGAGTGACAGCTCCAAGGCCTTACTCCCCAGTCCCCGTCACCCGCCTCAACCCTGCCTCCACTTTTCCTGTGACCTCCTTGAGCTGGAACTCCTCTGCAGCAAGAGTCTCTGCTCCCTGCCATCCTCTATGAGGCCTGATCCCTGGTCTGAGTGAGCCCTTCTTCCCCTTTCTTGAAGGGAAGGGGACTAGGGAACTCCCCTTATAGGCTTGACTTTCTGTGTATGTCCCATTGTCACTGAGGGGAGTAGGGGATGGCTGAAGGTGTCTCGGAAGCAGAGGCTGCATCCCTGATCTTCAAGATTCCCTGGGCCATCTGTGTCCTCCGCTTGTTCTGCAGGGTCCACGCGGGGAACGTGGAGAGAAAGGAGAGTCGGGGCAGCCAGGAGAGCCAGGGCCACCAGGGCCTAAAGGCCCCACAGGCGATGATGGCCCCAAAGGGAACCCTGTGAGTTTGGGGCAGTGGGGGCTGAGTCCTCTCAGGCCCTGTGAATGACAGACCTGGGAATATGGGTGTGTGTGAGGGAGGATCTTGGAGTGTGGGGAGCCCGGGAGTTTGGGGGATGCTCTGGGAATGGGGCATCCAGAGGGATGCCTGGGGTCTAGGATCCGGAGAGAAAGTGAGAGATGCCCTGCAGTTAATACCTTGAGGAATTAGACAACACGCAGTGCACGTGGTAGGGAAAGGGGTGCAGGAGACCTCTTCCTGGGGGGTACTGGTGGGCACTGCCTCTAGAGAGGCAGTGGCGTGTGCCTGTGGGCGTCTGTGCTGGGTGGGCTTAGGGAGCTGTGACCCTGACTCTTATTCTCCATCTGGATCAGGGTCCTGTTGGTTTTCCTGGTGACCCTGGCCCCCCTGGAGAAGGTGGCCCTCGGGTGAGTCTTACTCAGAGAAGGGAAGGGGCAAAAAGGGTGGGGCTTCTATGGGGGGGTCCTCTGTGTGGCCGCTGGGCTTGGGTATTGGGAAGCTGGGGGTATGGCAGGGTGGGCAAGGGGATGGGGTATTGACAGTTTTGGAGGTGATGCCAGCCAGGTTGGGGGCCCACCTCTGACCTTGCTTCACTTCTGCAGGGCCAGGATGGTGCTAAGGGTGACCGAGGCGAGGATGGTGAGCCAGGACAGCCTGTGAGTGCCTGGTGACCCCACCACCCCCCTGAGCCCAAGCCTCATCCTCTTTACCCCTCTTCTGTGCCCCACTCCTGAGGGGTCCCTTGGCTGGAGGATAAACACTCAGCCACCCCAATTCCTCTCTCCCTAGGGATCCCCTGGTCCCACCGGGGAGAATGGACCCCCAGGGCCACTTGGAAAGCGAGTAAGTGAGGTGGACCCCTGAGACCTTGGGAGGCAGTCCCTGGGCTGTGTGGGTGGAGGCTGGGCAATGGCAGGTGGGATGGGTGGGGAGGTGCCTGGTGTCTGCATTGCCCTGGGTGTGTGTGTGTGCAGGAGCTGGTGGGTTTAAGGGTGTGTGGTATCTCATTGCCCGGGGCAGGGTGTGTGTGCAGGAGCTGGTGGGTTTAAGGGTATGCGGTATCTCATTGCACTGGGCGAGTGTGTGTGCAGGAGCTGGTGGGTTGATGGGTGTGCGGTATCTCGGGCATGTTTGTTCCTGGGTTCTGGTGTGTATGTTTTCACCAGGGGTAGTGGTCGTTACTGACAAAGCAGAATGGAAACTGGAGGAGGGGCTGGCCAGCTTTTCTGTGGGCCAGGGGTGAACCTTTTTAGTTTCTGGGGCAGGAGACGGGCCACCAGGTAGGGTGTGGGCAAGTGGCCCTTCACCAAATGTACAGACTACCCAGTATTTTCACAACTGTCACAGCTGTATCTGTTCTGCACATCTGTGAATCGGCCCTCGGCGCGTGTCCCTGTGTATGCACGTGTGTGTGTGCATGTGTATGTGTGTGTCTAGGACAGGAAGGGGGAAGAGTTGAGCCTGGCTGCCCACGGCCTCATGTGCTCTTCCTTCCCACTCCACCTGCAGGGTCCTGCTGGCTCGCCTGGTTCCGAGGGGCGACAAGGAGGGAAGGGAGCCAAGGTGAGGGACAGGCTGCCCTAGTGCTGGAGCATCCCCTCCGCCTCCCACCCCTCAGATGCCTCCGTCTCCAGATGCCCACCCCATCTCCACCTCTCCCATGTTGGGCCCTTATGGGGACAGGCGTTCCCTGTACTTGTTCCTGCGCTAGGGGCTCCTAGAGTTTGGCCCTTCCTCCCTGCCTCCCACCTCCCACCTTGGACCCTCTGCCCCCTGCCCACACCCCACTCCTCTGCCATTCAGGACACATTCCTTGTGTGTGTTTCAGGGAGATCCTGGCGCTATAGGTGCCCCGGGGAAGACAGGCCCGGTGGGTCCTGCAGGCCCAGCAGGGAAACCTGGCCCTGATGGTCTGAGGGGGCTCCCAGGCTCAGTGGTGAGTCACTGCAGGGAAGGGCTGGGCTGGGGTGGGAGTGAGGGGCCATGGGAGGGGTGCAGTGTGGGGATGCTCCTCCTGACCCCTGTGGCCCCCTCAAATCTTCAGGGTCAGCAAGGCCGACCTGGAGCTACAGGCCAGGCTGGGCCCCCAGGTCCTGTGGTGAGTGACTGGGATTGGGCTGAGTGAGGGGTGAGGGCAGTGCCCTGGGACAGAGCTGAAGCCCTGGAGGAAGTGGAGGCTGTTGGGGAGAACTTGGTCCCACCTCTCCCTTAAGAGAATGACTTCCCATCTCTCCACAGGGACCCCCAGGGCTGCCTGGTCTCCGGGGCGATGCTGGAGCCAAGGGAGAGAAGGTGAGTGACAGACAGACACGTGGCCAGGTGTCTCTCCCATCACCCTCGCCCCTGAAACCTGTGGGACCCAAGTGCCCACTGCTCTGCTTCAGGCCTCCGGCAGCCAGTCCCAGGGAGTCCCTGCTCAGTGAGGGCCACTCACGGACCCTGTGCCCGGCTCCCTCTCCATGTCCTCTTGGCCCTTCTCCCCCATCCACATGACTCCTCTTTGCATTCTCTTGACTGCCTGCACCCTTCTCTAGGGCCACCCAGGTCTCATTGGACTGATTGGGCCCCCGGGTGAGCAGGGAGAGAAGGGAGATCGGGGACTTCCTGGGCCTCAGGGCTCCCCTGGGCAGAAGGGTGAGATGGTGAGTAGAGGGCATGGTCCCGGAAGTTGTGGGGGTTGAGAGTGGGGTGGAGAGGGGTGGAGTTGGAGTTGGGACTCAGCTGTGGGTAAGCGAGCAGGTGCTCATGAGGGTGTGGGAGGAGGACCCAGTTGAACCAGCCACTACCCTTCCTAGGGTATCCCAGGAGCATCCGGCCCCATTGGTCCTGGAGGTCCCCCCGGCCTCCCCGTGAGTACTGCCTCTGTTCCTCCACAAAATCCCCTAAACCCCTCTGCTGCCCACCCACAGCCTCCCAACGACTTCCATGGAACTACCAGCCTAACAAGCATAGTCCTCAGGGTCCCCCATTTGTCCTGTCACCACCAGTACCTCCTCCCCATACTTCCAGGGCTCTGAATGTCCTAGTATTCCCACAGGACTGCCCCTCCTGTAGTAACCCGAGGCTCCTGTGGACTTGGGACCTTGCCTCCCCGCTCCTCTGAGTCCTGTCCTTCCCCTGCAGTGACCGTCTCTTTCTTGTTCCTCATTTCACAGGGACCTGCTGGCCCCAAAGGAGCCAAAGGAGCCACAGTGAGTGACCCCCTTCAGCTCTGACCTTTGCTCCACCCCCTCTGGACTTGATGATGTCTCTCCAGGACAAATAGACTCCCCCCAAGGAGCCCCTTATTCCAGCCAGGAGGCTGATTTGATCTTTCTGTGACCTTGATCCATGCTTGACCTCTTGACCCCTCCATGACCTGATTTATTCCTTGTCAGGGCCCAGGCGGACCCAAGGGAGAGAAGGGTGTGCAGGGCCCTCCAGGACACCCGGTGAGTGAGGAGTCAGGGCTGCTCCCAGGGCCGTACCCCTCTGCTCCACTGCTGCCACACTTCACCCTCACACCAACCTTGTCTCTTGCCCTCTCCATCTGTCCCTGCACCCAGGGTCCCCCAGGCGAGGTGATCCAGCCACTGCCCATTCAGATGCCCAAGAAGACTCGGCGCTCGGTGGATGGAAGCCGTCTGATGCAGGAAGATGAGGCCATACCGACCGGGGGAGCCCCCGGCAGTCCTGGGGGGCTGGAGGAGATCTTTGGCTCACTCGACTCCCTGCGGGAGGAGATCGAGCAGATGAGGCGGCCAACAGGGACCCAGGACAGCCCTGCTCGCACCTGCCAGGACCTGAAGCTGTGCCACCCAGAGCTTCCCGATGGTCAGTGCTAGCCTCAGGGTGCACAAACATCTCCCCAACAGCATGGGTACTGAACAAGCAGAATGGATGCTGGGGGAGTCTTGGTGAAGGTGTTGGGTTAAGGGTGAGGGCTGAGGGGCTGGGAACTGCAGCTATTTACTAACCAGGTCAGAAGTATCCCAATACTTTAGCAACTGATCTGGGTCAGTGTGTACCAGTTGGTTATCAGCCCAGTGTCTGCAGGAGCAGATAAACATACATACGTGCACACACCTGTTTGCACCTGAACAGATGAATCTGTGTGAGCGCCTGCAACCACATGTTGTCCCAGTATGAGGCTGTCCATACTCGGACCTCCTCCAGTCAGAGGGCCTGGGGTTACTGTTGGGGGCAGAGGTGTCACGTGATGAAAGTGAGCTGCAGCAGTAGGATGCTGCAGTAGAATCCAGCAGTAGGGCTAGATTCTAGGGCTCTGGGAGGGAGGAGGACCAGGAGACTAAGAGCATGATGGGGAGGGCTGGGAGGGAAGAGGGAATGTGGGGGCAAAGAGCATCTTGGAGCCTGGACCTAGGTGGCCCTGACCTCCCCTCTCCCTCACCCAACAGGAGAGTACTGGGTCGACCCCAACCAGGGCTGTGCTCGGGATGCCTTCCGAGTTTTCTGCAACTTCACAGCAGGGGGTGAGACCTGTGTGACGCCTAGGGATGACGTCACGCAGGTGAGAGCTGGCCCCTCGCTGCCCCTCCCCTGCCCCATAGTGCACCCCCTCAGGGCTTAGTGGTTTCTGGGTTTTGGTGACAGTCCCCTGGCTGTTGCCCCCCCCGGAGCCTGCCACCCCTTCTCCACTTCTTAGCTCTTTCTTCTTTTCCTTTTCACCGGTCCTCTGATGCTCACTTTGCCTTTCGTGTACCCCCAGTCTCCTGGCTCCCACTCAGCCCCTCACTTCTTTCCCAGCCCTTGCCTTCCAGCCATTCCCTGCTCATGACTCTGGCTCAGCTGTCCTGGTGCTGTAGATGCTCCTGAGGCCCGTCTCTGTCTCCCTCTGAGGCCAGCCCTCTCTCTCCCCCTCTGAGGCCAGCCCTCTCTCTCCTTCCAGTTCTCTTACGTGGACTCAGAGGGCTCCCCAGTGGGTGTGGTCCAGCTCACCTTCCTGCGGCTGCTCAGCGTCTCAGCCCACCAGGACGTCTCCTACCCCTGCTCTGGAGCAGCCCGTGACGGTCCCCTGAGACTCCGTGGGGCCAATGAGGATGAGCTGAGCCCGGAGACTAGCCCCTATGTCAAAGAATTCAGAGATGGCTGCCAGGTGGGAACAGGAAGAGCTGGGTTGGGGGCTGATCTCAGACTCAGGCTGGAGGAAGGAGGTGGGAAGACCCCTTGGGCAGGGCACCCAGGGGGAGCAGGGAGGAGTCCGTCCTGCTGGATTGTCAGGGATGCCTGAGGGAGCTCAAAAGCCAGTGAGGAAGGTGGAAAGGATGGAAGCCATCGGGTGAGGTTCACTTGGGTACAAACACCAGCGTCACACAGGTTAATGCAGACGTGTACACAGACTGGCACATGGCTGCCCAGCAGAGGCACACGGTGGGGGAGAAGCAAACACACACGCATGGGCACACAGACACTGCCAGTCTGTACATCCTGAGTCACCCTGATGGGGCCAAGGTGCTCAGAGGAGAGGTGAGCCTGGGCCTGAGGTTAGAGGGTGGGGGGTGCCTCCATCCTGCTCACACTTTCTTCCTTGTCTCCCCCTGAAGACACAGCAAGGCCGGACGGTGCTGGAGGTGCGAACGCCTGTGCTGGAGCAGCTGCCAGTGCTGGATGCCTCCTTCTCAGACCTGGGAGCCCCACCGAGGCGGGGAGGGGTGCTGCTGGGGCCTGTCTGCTTCATGGGATAGGACCGTCTCTGTCTGATCCTGTCCATTCGGAACCAGGCCCACCTGGAATCCCACAACATCAGCTCTGTGCCACCTCCCAAGAGGGCTCCTCACTATCTAGGGAGCCCTGGGCCAGGGCGTGGAGAGCCCTCAGTCGGGGCAGGCCAGGGGAGGGGTGAAGTGGTTGCCTGGACACCCCACGGGAGGAGTGGCATCTGGGGCTCTTGGCCCTCCCACCTGGAGCCTGTTACCCGTTAGAGAGCTGAGACCCTTATTTAAAACTCACCTCCCAATCACCCCAAACAAATGGAAGAGAAGAGAAAGGACATGGCGTATTTTGTATTTAAAAGTAATTGTATTAATTATTTAAAGTGTGGAAAGCAAAATAACAAAAAAGAGAAACGCCAACAAAAATCAGCAGATGTTGAAGACAGGGGTCTCGGGGGTGGGCTCCGGCACCCACATCCTGGAGTCAGGACTTTCCTCAGTGACTGTGTGTAGGGGGGTTTCAGGGCTGAACCCCACCTCCCTCCCACCTTCCTCCCACCTCACCTGTCGCACCCACTGTGAAAGTTGGAATATGTGGTCTCCCTGGCCTCAGGGCTCTGACTCTGCCAGGGTGGGGCTCTCTAACCCACAGGTGTTGGCTGCCTGGCCCATGTGCCCACTGTCTCTTCCACTTGGTCTGGGTTTGGCAGGCACTGCCTGCTACTTGAGGGCCAGGATGCTCCCCCAGGGAAGAAACGGAATAGTGTGGGGTGTGTGCAGGGCTGCATCCCGCAGATGGCTGGAATATTAAAATTCTTCTATATTGGCTGGTAAATTGCCATGGCCCTGAGCCACTGAGTATGTTCATTGCCACCCCTGTCCCTCCCCTGGGCACCCCTCACTTTCCCTGATCCTGCAATTAAAGGGTTAATGTGTGGCATATGGAAGGGACTCCCAGGACCCTGTGCCCAGCTTCCATGCTGACTGATGGTTAAATAATGTGATTGTCTCCTCCCAGGTGTCTGTGTCACTGCTTGTGTTGTTATTTCAGTCTCCCCCGACACCCATCTGATGCTTCCTCTTCCCAGCTAAGTGGTTACCAGAATTGTATGGCTTAATCCAGATACCCTGCAAGCCCTGTCCAGCTGGGGTGTCAGGGCCCAGAGTTTACAAAGCCTGGGTGACTAGCATAAAATTACAAACAATGCCCCAGGGACACCAGGTAGGGGTTTGGGGTCCCTATGGCTCCAGTTTCTGACACGGGTGTGCGATTGCTTCTGGGTGTGGGTGGGACGGTGCTACATAGCCCAGTCTAATCTCTGTAAATGGGGAGGCTGAGGCCCACTTCCAAGACATTTACTGCATCTGTACCTCTGGTCACCTTATCCCTCCCCATCAGCCTTGTGCTGTGCTGTCATGAAGACAGGGCTGTGGCCAAGCCCTCCACACTCACGTGTAGTCACGTGCATACTCGTTGAGTCTTTGTGTTGGGTGGAGTCGCACAGTCCCTGCCTGTGTCCCCCCACTCTTGACTGTCCCCCACTTCCCTAGCCTCCCTCTCCTGGGCACTCAGAAGCTCTGCTCCCTCCGGGTTAGGTGTCCAAGAAGTCCTCTCTTCCAAGGCTGGCCGCGCAGCCGGGACCCCCTAGCTGGTGCCCATGGGGCTTCACATTCCCAAGCAGTATTGCCTGGCTCCTGCCTGTCAGGGCGCTGCATTAAAACGTGTTCCAGGGCCTCATCCTAATTTCCTCTTCCTCAACCCTCTTCCTCGCGGGCGCCAGAATCAAGAGTGCGTGCCTTTGTGTCCCGGTTTCGCATCCGCGGCCTCGGGGCGGGCCTGGCAGGGCTGCCCTTCACCCCGAGCCCGAGCCCGGGTAGGCTGCGCCCCCGCCCCTCCTCCCCGTACTTCTTCCTCCCAGCGTGTCCCCGACAGCATCGGCTTGGCCGTCCCGGTCCCAACCCATTCTCGATCGCAGGAAGCCCCACGTGGGCGTCTAGACGGCCACTCTGGCCCGGGCGGGTGCGCGGAAAAACTTCTCGAGGGTGGAAGCCTCTCCTCGGCGCTGGCGCCTCCGCCTCTGCCGCCCCCTAGTGCCCGCGCTGAGAACGCGGCCCCGCACCGGGTCAGCTGAATAATCCCGGTCCCTCAGACGCCTCTCCCTTGTCACCCGCTGAACCCCCTGACCCCGAAGGCCGAATGGAGGAAGAAGCCCCTGATCTCATCTGTCAGGGGTCCGGTGGTGGATAGGTTTTCTGGGATCACCCATGCTCTCCATCTCAATATCCAAGGCCCAGGGGCTTCAGACACCCCCTTCCCTCCCTCTCAGGGTCACATTAAGAGAAGATCAGATCTAAATAGGTGCCCCCCATCTGTTTCTCCCGCACCCACTCCCAGCCTAGCCGGGCTGGAGTTGAGGTTTCTTTGGCGCTCTTTCTGCAGCTGGAGCCAAACCCGCAGAGGTCGCCCCCCGAACAGCAAGAGGACTTTCCCAAAGGTCACGTTTGGTCAGATGCTCTGAGTTCCGAGGGCTTTTCTGCATGGAAACAATGCTGTACAGTCACTCGAATAACATTTATATACGGCGGCTAAGTCCCCAGGCCAATCCACAAAAGCCTATTTAATTACACAGTGCTGCCAACCAACCCCATCTAACAGTTTCACGAGGGAGTCTGTGCCAAGTTGCTGTTGAGGAGGCCAGGCCCACAGCCTTCTCTTGGCAGCTAACTTCTTCCTCCCCTCCAGAAAGCTAGAGCCAGGCTCTAAGGAAGGGTGGGAGGGGTTTAAGGGCAGGGCTGTAGAGGCGGGGTTTTGGGGTGGGGCTGGGTGTGAACAGGGCAAGTGCCCAGGCTCTGGGCCTGTGGGTAGTGGCAGTGTCTCCATTGGCTGGTGGGCAATGGAGGCTTCTGGGTGGGGTGGGAGGAGATAGGGAAGAGAAAGGCAGAGGCTTTAGGGAACTACTTTGGGTTTGATTGGGGCAGAACATAAACTCTTGTTGGAGGGGCCAAATTCTGAAAAGTATTGACTGCTTATGGAAGGAGTTGAACTTGAACCCAAAAACTAAGAGTCATAGATGGTGTTTGAAAAGGCAAGTGATATGATGGAATTGTGTGCTGGCATGGTGGCGAAGGAGAGGAGGGTTTGGGATGGGGCGCACAGGGAGATCATGTTTTTTTTTGTTTTTTGAGACAGAGTCTCGCTCTGTCGCCCAGGCTGGAGTACAGTGGCGCCATCTCGGCTCACTGCAGCCCCTGCCTCCCAGGTTCAAGCAATTCTCCTGCCTCAGCCTCCCGGATAGCTGGGACTACAGGTGTGCACTGCCACGCCTGGCTAATTTTTGTATTTTTAATAGAGACGGGGTTTCCTCACGTTGGCCAGTATGGTCTTGATCTCTTGACCTCATGATCCTCCCGCCTCGGTCTCCCAACTGCTGGGGTTACAGGCGTGAGCCACCGCGTGGGAGATCATGTATAGAGGGAGGGCTGTGGGGTGGGTCCTCTGTCCTGTCACACCCTTGGAGCTGCTTTTCAGCTTTGGGCTTATATTTTTAGCATCTGTAACTTATGGTTAAAAAATAACTTGTGAAATAAAATAAAAATAACTTACAGACCACTTATATCACTGTACCTGGGAGCACCACATATCCTAGAAGGCCATGGGCTACACAGAGCTGTTCTTGCCCTCCCTTGGCTGTCTTGCATGCTGAGGTTTGTAGTTTTGAATGGACCAGGGCAGGTGGGGGTGGAGATGAGACAGAGGAGGGAGTGAGTCAAAACAAGGCTCTCAGCCTGGGCAACAAAGCAAAACTCCTTCTCTCTCTCTCTTTCTCTCTTTCTTTGAGACAGGGTCTCTGTCACTCAGGCTGGAGTGGAGTGGCAAGATCATGGTTCACTGCAGCCTCAACCTCCGTGGGTTCCAGCCATCCTCCCACCTCAGCCTCCCGAGTAGCTGGGTCTCCAGGCATGTACCACTAGTTTTTGTATTTTTTGTAGAGATGGGATTTTGCCCTGTTTCCCAGGCTGGTCTAGAACTCCTGGGCTCAAGAGATCTGCCCATCTCGGCCTCCCAAAGTGCTGAGATTACAGGTATGAGCCATCACGCACGGCCCTTTTTCTCTACAAAAAAATAATTTAAAAATTAGCTGGGCATGGTGGCATGTGCCTGTAGTTGCAGCTACTCAGGAGACTCAGGCAGGAGGATCACTTGAGCCCAGGAGTTTGAGGTTGCAGTGAGCTATGCTCTTGCCACTGCACTCCAGCCTGGGTGACAGAGAGATACCCCATCACAAACAGACAAACAAACAAACAAAGGGCTCCAGCTGCCTCAGAAATAAGTTTCTGTGTAGTAGCTGGTGGCCACCTTGTTTTGTGGTTGTTTAGCCCATTTTCCTGCAAGTGTGGTGTGGTCAGCAGGGAGCATCAGGGCCACACTGGAGCTTCTTTCTGTCGAGCTGTGCAGTTCACAGACTGTACATGTGTAGGCCATAGCTATGTTTCTCAACTCAAACCTAGAGTAAGCAGAAGTCACCTTAAGTGCTTATAACTGGCCTTCTGTTATCTTTTCTTTCATCTTCAGAGTAGTTTCATGGGAACTGGCACTGACAGCAGACTGCCATCTCAGTAGAGAAGACCTGTCCTGCTAGTCCAAGCCTATAACAGGCTTGGACTCCGGCAGAGCCTCAGGCCAAAGAATGTGGGTCATAGAGATATATTCCTCATTGTGTTCACATCTCCCCCGGGCCTGGGCTATATTGTTGGGTCAGGTAATCGGCCTGCTCTCCTCATGAAATAAGGCATACTGGTATTACTAATGCTGGGAGAGATTTCTTATAATTCCATCCCTTCCCAGTTGTGGTTATTTGTATTAATACCTGCAGGTTTTCCTTACTTTTAGAACTGCAAATCTATAGAAACAAACAAACCCCAAACCCAACAAACATGTTTCAGAGACATTAGGGTTAGGGAGAAGATGAGAAATAGCACCCTGTTTGATTGGGGCCCTGGGGAGAGAGGGACTCAGACAAAAGAGTTTGAGTGGCAGGTGGTCTAGTTTTGGGTGGGTTGAGCAGACTTAGGGCCAAAGGTGGCACTGATTCTAGCTGGCAGCGGGCCTCTCTGTATTTCCAACTGAGAGTTCTCCTTCCCTTAGCTTGTCAGGGATGCTTTGCTTCTGAGTTGCACACTTAACCTCAGCATCAGTTTCTTCACCTGCAAAGTGGGATAATACTTGCTCTGTAAAGGAATAATTCCCCCTTTACTGACAGCCTTTGCAATGGAAAGTGAGGGGAGGGACCTGACAAGCTGTCTTGGTTCCATCTCCATGTCTTGGTTATTGCTGACACACGGGTGTCTGGGGCATGCTGCTGTCCCTTTTCCACTTTTGATTTTAGTGCTGTTAAAACTCTATACTTACTATTATTATTTTCTTGTTACAAATCGCAAAATCTGATTCAGAATAGCTTAAGCTCCAAAAGGAATTGATTGTAAAAATATTGGGTTTCTCAGGATTTGAAGACAGAGTTGACTCAATAGGGAAGACTGAGAGCAGTTCTGGGAACCTCAGGGGCTCATGGACTTTGTCCCTGGAGTGTGGATACTCACCGCTCAGCAGAGCTGCTCTTGACCTCTGTGTCTCTGGGCCCCATGGTTCAAAGTCATGGAGAGACAATCTGATTGGCTTAGCTTGGGTTATCTCTGTCCCTGAGAACCAATTTTCTGTGGCTGAGGGCCCAGTGTACCAACCAAGAGGTATGTAGGATGCCTTTTGGTGGAGGTGGAGGGGTGTTGGGGGCACTGTTTCCAGATAATGTGGGATCCTGAGGCCCCCAGGAGGTGTCCGCTTGCTTTCCCTTCTTCGCTTCTGTCTAAACAGACTCCTTTGTATGCATTTGACCAGCGTGATACAACCAGCCCCTTCATGATCACATTTGCTCTCCCTGCCACCCAATCTCCTGGATGGGCAACCCAAAGTCACATTCAGCAGCTGTGGCCATGACCTCTCTAACCTCAGAGGCCGACATCTCTGCCAGTTCATATTTTGCCACTTTGTGATTCAGCACATAAACTTTCATGGCCGTTATATCCAGGGCTGCATTGTGACTTCTGCGGGCCCTATGCACTTTTCTAAACAATAAATTTGAAATCATACTTATGATTGTGTTGATACACAGGCAACTATATTAATATTATATATTAAAATATTTTCTTCAACCTTAATTTTTTTTCTATTTTAAAAGAAATGTAAACATTGCCATGGGAGTATTGTGGGCCCTAGGCACTGTGGCTACTGTACATAATGGATCCATGGGCCCTCCTTGTGTCTTTGTTAAAGATTTTACTGGTTTACTCTTAAAATGTAATCACAATTCTGTTACCACAATTTTAATAATCATTCCTGTTGTCATCAAATATCCAGTCAGTGTTCAGATTTCCAAGATTGTTTTGTAGGTTTTGTGTGTGTGTGTGTGTGTGTGTGTGTGTGTGTTTGACTCATGATCCAAATAAAGTTGATGGTCTTCTAATTCTTTAAAGATCTACATTTTCCGTAATTTATTTAAAGTCCTTTTTGTTTACTTTTATTATGGACAAATTTAAGCATATACAAAAGTGGTTTATTATTGCTTTTTTTTTTTTTGAGATGGTCTTGCTCTGTCGCCCAGGCTGGAGCACAGTGGCACGATCTCAACTCACTGCAGCAACATCCGCTTCCCAGGCTCAAGCGATGCTCCAGCCTCAGCCTCCCAAGTAGCTGGGACTACAGGCGCCAGCCACCATGCCCGGCTAATTTTTGTATTTTTTGTAGAGACAGGGTTTTGCCATCTTGTCCAGGCTGGTCTCCAACTCCTGAGCTCAAGCAATCTGCTCATCTTGGCCTCCCAAAGTGTTGGAATTACAGGCGTGACCCACTGAGCCTTGCCTGTTATTGCTATCTTAAAAAGAATTAATACATGTTAAAAATCTTTTTCAGTTCTAATTTTGAATACAGTAAATATCAATAACAATATTGTAAGTAAAGCTTTTCAGTGTTTTCAGTAATTTAAGGGGTTTATACTCTTAAAACATTGAGAGATTTTTTTCAAATTGAGATTTAAAAAAATTGGGAATCACTAATCTAGAAGAACTGTTAAAAATAGTCATGCCCACCTGTGCTCACCCTTAGAGATCTGGATTCAACCCATTTGGGGCGTGAGCAAAGGGACTTGTGTAAAATTTCCCCAGGCAATTCCAAAGTGCAGGCTGTGTTGAGAACCTCTGCTCTAAACTGGAGAGATCCCGTAAGAAATAAGCAGCCAGGTGCAGTGGCTCATGCCTGTAATCCCAGCACTTTGGGGGACCAAGGCAGGTGGATCACTTGAGGTCAGGAGTTCGAGATCAGCCTGTTCAACATGGTGTAACCTTGTCTCTACTAAAAATACAAAAAATTCGCCAGGTGTGGTGGCACGTGTCTGTAATCCCAGCTACTGGGGAGGCTGAGGCAGGAGAATCACTTGAACCAGGGAAGCAGAGGTTGCAGTGAACCGAGATCATGCCACTGCACTCCAGTCTGGTAGACAGAATGAGACCCTGTCTCAAAAAAAAAAAAAAAAAAAAGAAAAGAAAAAAAAGGAAATAAGAAAAGATGGCCGGGTGTGGTGCCTCACACCTGTAATACCAGCACTTTGAGAGGCTGAGGCGGGCGGATCACCTGAGGTTAGGAGTTTGAGACCAGCCTGACCAACATGGAGAAGCCCCATCTCTACTAAAAATACAAAATTAGTCGGGCATGGTGGCACATGCCTGTAATCCCAGCTACTTAGGAGGCTGAGGCAGGAGAATCGCTTGAACTTGGGAGGCAGAGGTTGCGGTGAGCCAAGATCACGGCATTGCACTCCAGCCTGGGCAACAAGAGTGAAACTCTGTCACAAAAAAAAAAAAAAAAGAAATAAGCAAAGGCACAGAGTGGGAAAGGCAACCAAATGCCCTAGGTCTGAAAGGGCCTCCTGGGACCTGCTGCATCCAGCAGAAATGCTTGCAAGTGCAGGCCCAGACAACCCAAAAAACAGGGGCTAAAATAAACAGGAATTCATTTTTCTCATAAGAAATCTGAGGATGACAGCTTCCAGCATTGGTTTGAGCATTTAATGATGCCATCAGGGTTCCAGACTCTTCATATGTTTACACTCCACCCTCCTACAATGTTACCCTTACATATTTTCTTTGGCTAAACTATAAGCACGTTTTTCATAATAGCTGTTCCATTTACATCACTGTCAAACATGACATTCACCAATAAAGAAAAGACGCATGAGACGTGTTCGGCACCCCTTAGCTGTAGAAATGCCTGCCACCACTTTGCTGTCATGAAAGAGCCATTTTATGGCTATTGCAAATGCTTTGAAGATACTAAGACTTGCACCTGGAAGCTATAGATGCAGTGTGGGAAACTGGGAAGTATAATTGCCACTGAATTGTGTTATTGATTTATTACTGCAAATAAATCTATGCAGGTCCCTTCTGAAATTGAGATGGTCCTGAACTGAACAAATGTCTTATTGACATTCATAACAGTGGCTGGTATTCCTTCTTTATCCTGTTTGTCAGTTTTTGGAATTCACTGATTAGATAAATAAAAAGAATCTCACTTGCTCCTTACTAATGAGCTCCACGGAGGGGCATGATGTTGGAAAAGGCACCATGCAAGGCATGATTACTAAGAAGACAAAGGGCTTGTCGGGGAGCTGTTAGGGAGGGTCCTGAGCCAGGGCTTGGGAAAAACATCTCATCATTTTACTGTATCTGATGCTTGGAAGTGACATGTGCTTTGCAAACTCCAGTTTATGTTTTGATGACTTTGTGCTTGTTCTGCTTGGTTAGGATTAGCTTCAGCTGTGAGAAACAGAAAACCCTGAAAACAACAGTGTCTCCACCAAGATAGAAGTTCATTTCTCTCTCACATGCAACCCTAGGGCTGGTGTAGTGTTTAAGTGTCAGAGACTCAGGTTCCTTCTATCTATCTTTTTCTTCCACCAGCCTCAACATAGCTCTTCTCTCTCAGGTCCAATATGACTGCTTGAATTCCAGCTTTCATGTTTGTGTTCCAGTCAGCTGAAGGAGAAAGGGGAAATAAGGACAACCCCTCTTTTTTTTCGTTTTTTCTTTTTTTTTTTTTTTTTGAGAGGGAGTCTTGCTCTGTCACCCAGGCTGGAGTGCAGTAGTGGATCTCAGCTCACTGCAACCTCCGCTCCCCAGGTTCTAGCGATTCTCCTGCCTCAGCCTCCTGAGTAGCTGGGATTACAGGCATGTGCCACCATGCCTGGCTAATTTTTGTATTTTTAGTAGAGATGGAGTTTCACCACGTTGGTCAGGCTGGTCTCAAACTCCTGACCTCAAGTGATCCACCCGCCTTGGCCAATACCTTTAGGCAAAGCATTATAGCAGGAGTCTAAAAACAAATGGGCTGTTTTGTTTTGCTCGGAAATCTCTCCCCGAGGGATTGTTTTGTTTTTTGAAGTATTTGAAGGCTAAGTATCTAGAGCTTGTGCTCATGGAGTAGCTGCCCCCTTTCCTCGTGAGGCCACCATTAGTTACCTCTGCATATATGTCTGCCTCTGAGGTGTCTGGCTGTCTGAGGAGGCCTCTGGCTTTGTTAGTACACCACTAGGATATTTGCAACGTGGATCAAGACTTTTTAATTTAATTTAATTTAATTTTATTTTTTTGAGATGGAGTCTTTCTCTGTCACCCAGGTTGGAGTGCAGTGGCACAATCTCAGCTCACTGCAACCTCTGCCTCCCAGGTTCAAGCCATTCTTCTGCCTCAGCCTCCCAAGTAGCTAGGATTACAGGTGCCTGCCACCATGCCTGTTGCAGGAAGTCAGGGACCCCAAATGGAGGGACCAGCTGGAGCCGAGGCAGAGGAACATAAATTATGAAGATTTCATTTTAATATGGACATTTATCACTTCCCTAATAATGCTCTTATAATTTCTTACACCTGTCTTTACTTCAATCTCTGAACATAAATTGTGAAGATTTCATGGACATTTATCAGTTCCCAAGTAATACTCTTATAATTTCTTATGCCTGTCTTACTTTAATCTCTTAATCCTGTTATCTTCACAAGCTGAGGATGTACGTCACCTCAGGGCCACTATTGTACAAATTGACTGTAAAACATGTGTGTTTGAACAATATGAAATCAGTGCACCTTGAAAATGAACAGAATAACAGCGATTTTAGGGAACAAGGAAAGACAACCATAAGGTCTGACTGCCTGTGGGGTTGGGCTAAAAGAGCCATATTTTTCTTCTTGCAGAGAGCCTATAAACAGACGTGCAAGTAGGAGAGATATCGCTAAATTCTTTTCCTAGCAAGGAATATTGATAATTAATACTCTGGGAGAATAATTGCATTCCTGGGGGGGAGGTCTATAAACAGCCGCTCTGGGAGTGTCTGTCTTATGCGGTTGAGATAAGGACTGAAATATGCCCTGGTCTCCTGCAGTACCCTCAGGCTCACTAGGGTGGGGAAAAACCCCACCCTGGTGAATTTGAGGTCAGACCGGTTCTCTGCTCTCGAACCCTGTTTTCTATTGTTTAAGATGTTTATCAAGACAATATGTGCACAGCTGAACATAGACCCTCATCAGTAATTCTAATTTTGCCCTTTGCCTTGTGATCTTTGCTTTGCCTTTTGCCTTGTGATCTTTATTGCCCTTTGAAGCATGTGATCTTTGTGACCTACTCCCTGTTTGTACACCCCCTCCCCTTTTGAAGTCCTTAATAAAAAGCTGCTGGTTTTGTGGCTCAGGTGGACATCATGGACCTACTGATATGTGATGTCACTCCTGGCGGCCCAGCTGTAAAATTCCTCTCTTTGTACTCTTTCTCTTTATTTCTCAGACTGGCCGACACTTAGGGAAAATAGAAAGAACCTGCATTGAAATATTGGGGGTGGGTTCCCCAGATACATGCCCAGCTAATTTTTTTGTGTTTTTAGTAGAGACAGGGTTTTGCCACGTTGGCC